>NC_000010.11:3797878-3949393 GCF_000001405.40 Homo sapiens
TTCTTCCATGCAACTTTCTCATTTCCATTAGCACATCCAGATGAGTCAGAAATCTCTATCTGCCATCTGGTAGCACCTTTCCACCAGTCAATACACTGCTCTTCTTCTGCAAAGACTTCAAAGAGTTTAAATAAATGCATATTTTGTTTTGAGCACTTACTATGTGTTGGCCATTGTCTGTGTCTTCAGGAAGCAGCAGTGATCAAAACAAAGTCCCTCCTCACACCCAGCTCATGTTCTGGTGGAGGGAAAAATAAGGAGCAGGTAAACACGTAATGTCTCAGGTGAAGACAATTCTATGAAGGGGATAGGATGGGAAATGGTGGGCAAGGGGACTTAGTGAATATTCAGGATGGTTATGGAGGGCCTCCCTGATGAGGTGACATTTGTCTAGAAAGAAGAGTGAATATCCAGTTTTCTCAGCACCATTTATTGAAGAGACTGCACTTTCCCCAATGAGTGTTCTTGACAGTTTTGTAAAAACTCAGTTAGCTGTAGCTACTTGGATTAATTTCTGGATTCTCTGTTTTCTTCCATTGGTCTGTGTGTCTGTTTTTATGCCGGTATCATGCTGATTTGATTACTATAGCTTTGTAGTCTATTCTGAAGTCTGGTAGTGTGATGCCTCCAGCTTTGTGTTCTTTTGTTCACTTGTTTGTTTATGTTCCTCAAGATGGTTTTGGTTATATGGCATCTTTCATGTTTCCATACAGATTTTAGAATTTTTTTCCTACTTCTGTGAAGAATGTCATTGGTATTTTTTGATAGGGAGCACACTGAACCTGATTGCTTGAGTAGTATGGGTATTTTAACAATATTAATTCTTCTAATCCATGAGCATGAGATGTCTTTCCATTTGTTTGTATTCTCTTCAGTTTCTTTCAGCAGTGTTTTATAAATCTCCTTATAGAGGACTTTCACCTCCTTGGTTAAATTTATTCATAGGTATTTTTTTGGTAGCAATTGCAAATGATACTGCCTTTTAAATTTCTTTCTCAGCTAGTCTATTGTTCCTATATAGAAATGCTGCAGATTTTTGTGTATTAATTTTGTATCTTGCAACATTATTTGTCAGTTATAACGGTTTTATTTTTGTGACATCTTTAGGTTTTTCTCTATGTAAGATTACATCGTCTGCAAACAGAAACAATTTAACTTTCTCCTTTCCAATTTGAATGTGCTTTACTAATTTCTCTTGCCTGATTGCTGTGGTTAGGACTTCCAGGACTATGGTCAATAAGAGTGGTGAGAGTGGGTATCCTTATCGTTTCCCAGCTCTTAGAGGAAAAGCTTTTATCTCTTCCTCATTCAGTATGATGTTAGCTGTGGGTCTGACATATATGGCTTTTCTTATGTTGAGGTACTTTCCTTCAATTAGTTTATTGAGAGTTTTTATTATGAAGAGGTGTCGGAGAATGAAACTATATCCCCACCTCTCACCCTGTACAAAAATCAGCTCAAAGTGAATCAAAGATCTAAATGTAAGACCCAAAACTATAAAACTAATAGAAGAAAACAGAGGAAATGCTTGAATACATTGGTCTAGGGAAAGATCTTATAAATTTTTGTGATCGTAAGATTTTTATGAATCGCAAAAGCACAGACAACAAAAGCAAAAATAAACAACTGGGATTACACCAAACCACAAAGCTTCCACACAGCAAAGAACACAACCAACAGAGTGAAAAGACAACCTAAAGAAAGTGAGAAAATAATTGCAATCTATTCATCTGACAGGGGCGTAATATCCAGCATATACAAGGAACTCAACAGCAAAAGAATAAGCAATCCAGTTAAAAAATGAGCAATTGACCTGAACAGACATTTCTCAAAGGAAAACACATACATGAAAAAGAAACATATGAAAAAATGCTCATCATCACTAATAATCAGGAAAAGGTGAATCAAAACCACAGTGAGGTATCATCTCACCCTGGTTAGTGTGGCTGTTATCAAAAAGACAAAAATCACAAATTCTGGCTAGGATGCAGAGAAAAGGGAACTCTTGTACACTGTTGATGAGAATGTAAACTAGTACAGCCACTGTGGAGAACAGTACGAAGGATCTTTAGAAACACACATAGAAATATGACCCAATACTGGGCATTTATCTAAAGGAAAGAAAATCAATATGTCCAAGAGACACCTGCATCTTCCATGTTTATTGCAGCAATATTCATAACAGCCAAGATACGGAATCAACCGGGGTATCTGACAACAGATGAGTGGGTAAAGAAAATGTAGTACATACGCACAAAGGAATATTATGTAGCCATAAGAAAGAATTAAATCCTGTCATTCATGGCAGCATGGATGGAACTAGAGGACATTATGTTAAGTGAAATAAGCCAGAAACAGAAAGTTAAACACCTCATAGTCTCATTCATATGTGGAAGCTAAATAAAAGTTGGTCTCATTGAAGTAAGAAGAAGAAAAGAGGATGCCAGAAGCTGAGAAGGGATGGGGAGGGGAAGGACAAGGAAGGTTTGTTAAAAGATACGAAATTACAGCTAGATAAGCTTTAGTGTTTTGTACTAGATGACTATAGTTGATCACATTATATAGTTATTATTGTATAATAACTATACATATATAGTTAACTATATAAGTACATATTACATAGCTTCAAATAGCTAGGAGGACTTGAAACTATACAGCTATATATTCTACAGTTTCAAATAGCTAGGAGGAGGATACTGAATATTCTCAACACAAATACATGATAAAGGTTTGAGATGATGGATATGCGAACTATCCTGATACTCTCACTTTACATCGTATGTATGAATACATCACTATGTGCCCCACAAATATGTGCAATTATTATGTGTCGATCAGATTTTTTTTGAGTTAAAAATGAAAAGTGAGGTGATGGCTGAAAGTGAGGTGTAGCGTTATCTGCCAGGAAGCATGGGCAGGATGTAGTTATCAAAGTGATAACCAGTTTCTCTTTTAGTCTTAATTCTAAAAGATATTTAGGGATTTTATATCCATTGAGGTATTTCTTTATATACACATTGCAATTTTTTTATTAGATAACATTTGTTTGTAGGTAACCTCAAATATAAACTGCAGGGAGGGCATGAGGACCTACGTAGAACTTCTTGGAAGAAATAAGTTTTTTAAAACACAGCATTTGTGCGTGCATGGGAAGGGCCTTCTATTCCAGTGCCTTGGAAGAGTACTTGACTCTGACGAGGACAGCTGGTCAGCCACTGCTCAGAGCAGTTTCTACCACTTCAAAAGCCCCTTCAGCTCTCGTATATTTTACAATCCTACGGCCACTACAACATCCCCGTTTTACAGTTTTGTTGATCAGATAAAGAGCCTGGAACACCCCAAATCCTGCTGGAAGCTCTCCTAGAAACAGAATTCCAGAGAGGCCAGCACCTCCTCCTGGAATGTCCCCCAGTATTTGTCTCTGTGGTGCCAAAGCTCTGGTGTGTGGACCAAACACAAGCTAGCCTAGTGCAGGTTTTGTGGAAGTGTATGCTCAGGTCTTTTCTGATTCACTCGGTGGTCCTCCCTTGTCTCATTGTGGCTGGACACAAACAAGGAAATCTTCACAGTTTGGAGTCCAGTGGTTCTCACAAAAGCCCAGAACAGCCTGATGTCCACATGGTCATTTCCAAATCTCAAAGCGACATCTGAGTTGCAAAGTTGAAACTGATGGGGAATCGTGTGTCTCCTTCCCAGCTCAAGGGTCCCTTGACACGTTTCAAGGGCTCTGGGGGAAAGATGGCCTGAGATGAGAGTTACAGGCATCATGCCCCAGAAATAGAATTGATAGCAAAGGGCTTGAGGAGTTTTTGCCACTCCCTATTGACTGTTATAGAACTTGGAAGCTCGCCTGTGGGGCCTGGGATCCATCACCTCTCATAACAGGCATTAAACTGATGTCATTATTCAATGTCATTCGGTGCCATCAAAACAGGACCTGCTTTTGAAGGCCAGCCTGGACTTGAGGCTGATCTTTGCCATTTGACCAGCCGCCCGAGGGCAGACATGTTCCCCAACTCTTAATTTCTTCTAGAGACGTGCCGACCTGGCAGGATTGGTTTAGGATTAAGGGAAATGATGCACGCTCAGCACATCATAGAAGCTCTAGTAAATGTAAATGCTCTTTTCTGTTGTTTTTTCACATCATGGTGACAAATGGCTCCTCTGGAAGGTCCTGCAGATGTGAAACTGGGTGGTGGTGTCACCTGCTGACAGCGGTGGGTTTTTCTTCCCTTGGGTGCCATGAGGGTGAAGAGCTGGGGCGAATACTTGGAGGACGGGCACTTGGTTTGGTTCTGTTTTCTACATGTCCATCTCTACTGGGTTATCCATCCACCGGGTCACATATTGTCCTTGAGTTGCCCACAAGTCCTGGGGATCTACCAAAATGTCCCTCTCAACAGCGGTGACTTCCTGGTCTTGGGTGGGGGACAGTGAGCTGGATTGTGTCCCCGAAGTTCCGCTCAACCCCTCCTTTTGACTCGGCACTTGTTCTTCCCACCTGGTCTCAAACATAGACTATCTTCACAGACTTCTCGGCTTGGTTCCCCCTCCCCTAGAAAACGTCTTGGTTGGGAGTGGAGACACATACTCACACAGACCCACAACAGACACAACACACACAAACACACAGAGACACACACAGACACATACACACCCTGACACACACAGAGGCACACATATACATGTTCACACACATACACAGACACACACAAACTTAGAGACACACAGACACATACACACACTAACACATACACAGAGAGGCACACATACACACGTTCATACACATACATAGGCACGACACACACAACAGACACAACACACACATCATACACAGACTTACACAGAGACACACAGACACATACACACACTGACACATACACACGGGCACACACATATATATTCACACACATACACAGACACAACACACACAAAAGACACAACACACACAAACTTACCCACACAGAGACACACAGACACATACACACACTAACACATACACACAGAGGCACACATACACATGTTCGCACATATACATAGACACACACAGACACACACATTCACACACAGAGACACACACAAACACTAATATATACAGACACACAGAGACACACACACACAGACACAAACACACACAGACACAGACACACAGGCACAAACACAAGCACACTCGTTCATACCCAAGAGGGTCTCGTGGCTACTGTGGCCACTAGTTCATGAGATGCTGGAGTTTGTCAGCTGGCTGAAGGCAAATTATACCCTGCATGAGTTATCAGGTTGATAATTGCCATTACTTTTAACGCAAAAACCTCAAATACTTTTGCGCCAACCTAAAAGCTTTAGATTTATTTTCAAATAAAGTATTGTTGTGATTAACAGATTAATAAAAACATGCCAGGTCTTAGTTTTAATGATTAACTTTGGGGACTGAGTAGACAGTAAACATTTGGCTAGAATTTCCTGTCCTCAGATACCGTGCGATTGAAAGAAAATCCGCTTGGTGATGTGCTATTTATAACACTATTTTAAAAGGTTATCTTGTTCAAATGCAGCATGTGCTTAGGAGTTAAATCCCAGAACTGCCTGACCAAGAAAAAAAAAAAAGGTGCTTTAAAGTAGCATGTTGTCATAGTAGTGTGAAAATGTGAAGGTGCGACTGGCCGTATGTGAAATGAACGCATTCCCACAGTGACTCCAGCCTCTGGTGAGAAATCCCGAGTCACTCTCATGAGTCGAGAAGCCCTCACCAGATGGCAGGGCAGAGAGTTGCTTCCTCAGTGCTTTCAGGTAAAATCTTACATGACAGAGCACAAGAAAACACGTTACTCTAAAAAGCAAATTGACGGAATCTGTCATTAAAAAAAAACTAAAATTATACAAGACTCTTCATGTCTCAAGGAAAATAATGGAGAAGAAATGTCAGGCGCTGTGGTTTTTCTGAATAGATTTGAGCACATATGCACCACAAGCCATTTTTTAGGAAAGTCAACTTTTCACACATTTACAGAAATAATTTGCTTCAGATCTGCAAAGAAGGCTTGAAGCCACATGTGTTTTCTAAACTGCCAATCCACGATAATGTCTGGAGTATCTTTTTTTTTTTTTTAAATACCTAAATTAGATCTATGCAGAGTGTGGAAACAGCAGATAACTAGCAATACAGAGTTAGTAGAGGAAAAAAAAGGAACTTTCTTGAAGCGTCTCCCCTCCCCCAGACAAAGTAAAATGACTGTATTGTGCTGTTATCGACAGAGTTGCACGCAGCAAATGCTCGAATCATTTCAGAGATAATGAGACATTATGTTTCTTAGTTCACTATTTAAAAATATAAAACCAACAATTACAGATGGAAACTATTCATTCTGAGATTTATGGAGGGAAAAGCAGAAAAACAAAAAAAAAGTCCATGTCTTTCTAATGGCTGCGTATACTGCAGATAATTGAGCCACAGAAAGGGAGTTGTGTTTACAGAGAGAAGCCAGCGGGCAAGGAAGATGTGCTGTGGGTTTGGGCCTGGTTCTGACACAGTCTCAGCCTCAGGGAGGCCTCTGTGGCTTCTGTGCGTAGAGGCCACAGCCATCACCTCCCTGGGTCTCTGATCTTTCGTGGTCTTGCAATAGTTTCCAGCAGTGGGAGACCCCGTTACAAAATAAACGGTACCTCAGGCAGAGACTGATCTCACTAGGGAAGCCCATGATTGCAAGAAATGTCACACGTCTAACTACGGAGACAGGAAAGCCTTGCTATTTGAATCATTGAAGTCTGGGTGGGTGTACTAGTGAATATCTCATCATAGAATTTAAATGATCTTTCTCTATGTATTTTCAGCACTGTTCAGCAGCACAGGCATTGTTCTGGAGTAGCCCGTGAACTGTAAACAGATTCTCAGTATGCAGCAGGCAAATCGCCTTGGGTGGATACCTGAAACTTTAAGTGTTTTAAGCACTTGTCCTGAGATACATTTTTTAGATTATCAATTTGCACTGTGTAGATGTCAAAGCTTAATAGACAAAGACAAACTTCAGCCCAGCCCTGGTCATAATGAACAAAATTTCTGAAGTTAATAAAATCCTTAAAAAGTACATTATAATGTGTTTAAAAAAATCCATTTTTAGTTAATAGCAGTAATGCTACTATTCAGTGTTATAAACGGTTTTACAACCAGATTCAAACACTAGAATCTATGCCCTTCAAAAACATTAAACATGTATTTACTTTCATTGAAAAATACTCATTTGATTTTATTATATTTGTGAAAACATATTTTGCAGTATTTAAATATTGGCGTATTAACTGATAAATTATCTCCTGGTTCCTAGAAAACGTTCATTAAGATCTCAAAGGCTTTATCTGTATTTTACATGTTTCTCTGAAGAAAATGTATTATTTAGAAAACAAACAGTGTTGCCATGTGATAGGTTTTTTTTCAAATGAGACAACACAACGGAATAAAATATATGATCTGTAGCTGCTGAGGCTGAGTCAGTTCCTGTTTCAATAACAAGAGTGTCATCTGCTAAACTCTAACCAGCACAATTTGTCACCGTGGATGTGGCTTTATTTGTACATGTTGCCAGAAAGTTCTTAGGGAAAATTCACTCATAGTTTTCATACCAAAAAAGAAACTTTTGGTGAGCAGTTCTGGCTCCGGCTGTGGCCTTGTTTATTATTTATGCTGTAACCAATGCTTCCCTAATGGAAGGGTAATGCTTGCCTAGCTACATAAAATAATGCCTCAGTTTTCTCTGGGGAATTAATAATTTGCTCATGTCACCCCAAAGCTCTCACACGCTTGTGCGGTAGTTTTCCAAACAGTGAGCAGTGCGCCCCAATGGCATGGCAGAGAGAATTCCCAAGCTGAGAATCAGAAGACCTGCAGTTTTGTCTGGCTTTGCTAAGTGACTTTTGGATCTTGGACTTCTGTTTTCACATCTACAGAATTATGCCATTGAATAACATGTTCTCTATGCTTTCTTCTAGCGAAAAACTCTCTTAATTCTTTTTCTAGAATCATGAAATTGAGTTGGCAGTCTTTGCTTGGTCAGAGCCTGATGTTTCCTGAATTTAGAACTTGGTTCCCCCGAGACCCTCTGGACTAATTTAAAATGATTCATCCGCGTGAGTCATTGCCCTGCTGCCTTCAGGACAAGATGTCTATCTATTGTCTTGCTGCTACCATTTTTTACAAATAACTCCAGCTCAGCAGCTGCAGACTCGAGACCCTGCACCTGGTGACATCGGCCGGAAGACATCAGCTGGCTCTCTGCAGACACACCTGGAGGGAGGGTTTGGGAGGAAGGGGGCTGGGGCCTCCGGTCTGACCACCTCTGAAACACCATCCCAGGCTGTCTCTGAGGTTCATGTGGTTTGGGTCAGATTCTCAGTAGAATGAGAGGCATTTCAGGGACCTTCCAAGTCCTGAAAGAAGCCACTGGGCAAATAATTGGGTGTCACATTCCTTTTAGAGCCAGAAGGAAACAACATCCTATCAGAAGGAAGGGGAATTTCCTGCCATGAAAAGGAATCTTAGAGCAAAACCGAGTCATGGTTTTGCCCGAATTTTAAAATCCTGTTGCTTATATGGAAGCATATGGGTCCTAACAATTTCTCTTTCAAAATCCTCATAGTGAATGACATTATGGCCATGTTTCTCCCTCAAGTGTGTCTTAAAAATGCATCTAGAGTCTAACTATAAAGGCATCATTCAGTTGTAATAATTAACATCTTATTTGCATTCAGTACAATTCTAAGTTCCACATAAGTGTCTAATCTGGTGATGGGCGTTGTATGATTGCTAAGTAAATATTTGCCGTTGGTTATAAAGAATGAATAAGATGGGCACGGCCCTGTTTTCCTGTTGTCGTAGCCCAGGGTTGCCTTCTCTATAAACTATGTGTGACTGCAGCTGAATCAGTGAAGCCATCACCACCGGCCTCATGCATCACTGTCCTGTGGACCTGTGAGTAGTTCCAACACTCCCATGTGGTCAGCCTGCTTTACTTGAAACTCAGTTACATAAACCTGTTGAAGATAATGCTGCTATGTGATTGCTGACAACTTTCCAAATGCCCTGTTTGCTGCTCAAGCTGATGTTCCCAAGGAGAGAGTTGCAAGTATTGGAGGAAGCACCACCCTCAGGGAATGAGCTTGCAATCTGCTTCTCTGTGGCCCTGGGTCAGTCCCAATGTGAGCATGCCAAAGAGGACCCAGGCTGACGTTGGGGTTTCCATCCGTTCAGAATGACTTGATCCTTCCCTACCAATTAGAACTAATTAGGGTCTCTGGGTGCCATGAAGATCACGAGAAATGCAGAGTCTACTCCTGAATTGCTTTGTTTCATCAAATGTCTGTGGCTAGATATCAACTAGGGTTGCCATTTCCTGCTTCAGTTCAAATCAGACCGATAATTGCGTTCTGCAGTTGTCTCCAGCTAGCTGGTCCTCCCTTCCAGGCCCTCTCTCTGCCAGTCTGCTCTGTGCTTCAGGAGAATAATCCTCCTGCCATAGATTGATGGATGCCTGCACACTGCTTTCACTTCCCATTTTAAGACCTCATCCCTCCAGGCAGCCTCCCTTGGTTTGGAATCTTGGCTGTGAATTGCCAAACCTCAAGCCCCCTGCAGACTTACTTAGCTCTGCGTCCCTATAACATCCCATAGCTCCAGCCGTATCCGTCTGCATCCCAGCCCGCAGTGCGGTCAAGAGCTGTAAAGTCACTTCTCTCCTTCTGGCTGGTTGTTTATGTGGACTGACTGTCCTGCTGGCTGCCTTTGCTGATGAGAGTGTTGCCTTCCACAGAGATCAGGCCACCTGGGAGAGCCACTTCTGTCCACCCATCCCTGAGGGGATGCTTCTCCGTCCCTTCTGCATGCCTCCTGCACTCGGTGGCTGTGCTCTGGGAGAGTTACCCTGCGATCTACACTTTCGGCTGCACCACCCTCTGCAGTGAAGAGTGTCTAAGGTTTCCCTACTGCACAGAACACTCGAGATCCGTGGTGTGACAGGAAGAGCTTTCCAGCTGCGTGGCCTTGGGCCGTCTTACTCTCTGGGCCTCAGTTTCCTCATTGGTAGCATGGAGCACTGAAAGCTACGAACAGGAGCTGTGAGGGTGAATGGAGGATTCATGCCAGAGCCTGGTGGGATGCCCCTGCAGAGCAGATGCTCAGGAAACCCTCCTGCCAGCTCCTGGGGAGCACGGGAGGCGCTGGCTCCTTAGTTCTCTATGGAAGGACGGTTCTGCACCAGATATTATTATTAGAGTCTCTTATTTGGAATTCTGGACTTGTGTGCTCGACAGGGGCCTCAAGTCCCCAGTGTCGCTCAATAGTGACAAACCCAAATAAAAGATCCTGGCAAATGATTAGCAGCCTTTCCTGCTGCTGTGCTCATAAACGCTGTTGCTATTTTTGGGCCAGCATTGTTCAACCTGGATTTAGTTCTCCTTTGCTGTCTATTTTGGCTCTGACCTGCTCTGAAAGGGCAGGCTCCACGCCGGGTGTCACGCCCAATGGCTTCTCCACGGTCTTTGTCCAAATGGACTCAGTGAGGATATCACCAGCGGAAAAGTAAAAGATGAGAGGACTTGAAAAAAATATCTTCCATTCAGAATCTTTTTAAAAATATACTTTCAAACAAAGAGGTATTATAGAAAGCATTTTGCTTTTTCGTTTAAAGCTAAAGAAAATCAGAGTCACCTAGAAATGTGAGTTACTGGAGGAAGAGAGGAATGGTTAAGATCATTCTACAGTGTCTATATGTACTTATATATCCCAGTGTCTGTGTGTACATGCGTGTATGTCTGTGTATGTATGTGTGTCTGTGTGTGTCTCTCCATGTGTCTGCCTATATATCTGCATGTGTATACGTGTGTATGTATATCTGTGTATGTACATGTGTATATATGTGTATGTCCGTGTGTGTCTCTGTGTGTCTCTGTGTGCATGTATGTGTATATGTGTGTCTGTATGTATACATGTATGTCTGTGAGTCTCTTTGTGTGTCTGCCTGCATATCTGCGTGTGTGTGTGTATGCTCTGTGTGCGTTTGTATATGTCTGTGTGTCTGTGTATACACATGTGTGTCTGTGAGTCTCTCTGTAGGCGTCTCTCTGTGTGTCTGCCTGCATATCTGCATGTGTGTATGTGTGTATGGTCTGTGTGTGTTTGTATGTGTGTCTTTGTGTCTATGTGTATTCATGTGTTTCTGTGGGTCTCTCTGTGTGTCTGCTGCATATGTGCATGTATGCATGTGTGTATGGTCTGTGTGTGTTTGTATGTGTGTCTGTGTGTCTATGTGTACGCATGTGTGTCTGTGAGTCTCTCTGTGTGTCTGCCTGCATATCTACATGTGTGTATGTGTGTATGGTCTGTGTGTGTTTGTATGTGTATCTGTCTGTGTCTGTGTGTAATTCTTTATCTCCTCCGTTTTCTGAGCAGGCTGGTCCTTTGAATCCCAGGAGATAATTTTTCCTTATACTTACTAGAGGAGTCTGTCAATACAGTAGAAGCACAATGTAAATGGGGGATTAACACCTTGAGATAATTTGAATCCACTGTCATTCACCCTTTCTGAAATGCACAAGCTTGCAGGCACCTACCCTCCTGCTACAGGACAGAAAAAAACACGGTGGTTTTATTTCCATTTCTTATCACACGGTGTCCACTGCCTGAGCTGCACAGGGAGGCATTTTGTCATTTCACTGTAGGGGTCTCCTGTGGCCCCGAATCTCATGTGTTTGTGTCCCTAGGAGCTGCAGCCCCAACCATGTCATGAAGAGGGGTCGGCACGGGGGCTTCTGGCTGTGGCACACACACGTGTTAACCTATAAGGCTCACTTCCTGCCCACAAGGGTCAGAGTGTTGTTTTTTTTTTTTTGAGACGGAGTCTCCCTCTGTCGCCCAGGCTGGAGTGCAGTGGCGCGATCTGGGATCACTGCAAGCTCCGCCTGCCGGGTTCACGCCATTCTCCTGCCTCAGCCTCCTGAGTAGCTGGGACTACAGGAATCTGCCACCACACTCGGCTAATTTTTTGTATTTTTAGTAGCGACGGGGTTTCACCGTGTTAGCCAGGATGGTCTCAATCTCCTGACCTTGTGATCCACCCGCCTCGGCCTCCCAAAGTGCTGGGATTACAGGCGTGAGCCACTGCGCCCTGCTGAGAGTTTTTTATTGATCATTCAGTGATTCTGAAGGGAAGACAGTTCTACTCTCACTGCCAGTGACAGCACAGCCCAGGAGAGCAAGGGCAGGCTCCTCTCCAGGTGTGGCTGCTCTCCATGGCCTGGGTCATAGTCTGGAGATGACTGAAGAGTTAGTCTTGGGGCTGTTGCTTGTGAGAACTGGAGAGGTGTGTGTCATTATCTGAATCGGCCAGGCCCACGCCAGGGTGAACTGGGCTTACAGGAAATGCAGTCACAGGTGAGACAACCTTTGGCACCAGCTCCCAACTTTCAGTTCAGAGAACGGTGAGTTCCCGGTACAGGGAGTGGAAGCTGATGTCATTGAAAAGATATTGCCTTGCTTTGAAATCAGCAAGCGTGGTCAAAGTTCTCCAGTATATACACACAGAGGAAAAATGTGGCTCTGAATCACCATGGGCAGCTTTTTGATAAACAGATATTCAAAAAAAAAAAAAAAAAAAAACAACAGAAAAAACAGCCCATGTGTGGTTTTTCTGAGAATGCTACACGGCTTTCATATGTGCATTTTGACCCTAATTTCACTTACAACTTTCTCATAAGATACTGTTAGGAGTGAAAAGCCACAATTAGCTCTAGGCCAAGAGTGAATAATTTCAACAGCCTCTCTAAGATGGTTTATATTTTTGGAGCCATATATGGGTGAAAGTAACGATTTCCACAGGAGGACAAACAAAAGGAGATTTTTGCACACAACAGGGAAAAGAAAAAGGTTTAAACTTTCACATGTGAAAAAGTTCAAATTCCCAAGCCTTGCTGAACACAACCCCAGGTAGTTTTAAAATTTGCTTTCAATAAAAATTTATTTGAAATGAAATGCTTTACTAACTTTCATGGCTAAATCAGGAAACACCGTTTTCACTAATTAATATTAAACAGTTGGCGAGCACAGCACTTCTGGATGTGTTCCTTCTTCATAACTAAAAATGAGTGAAATTGTAATTGAATTCTGATGATAATCTTAATAGCATCATTCTCTACGTTGACTCCTTAAAGCAATTTTATATTTGCAAATTGTCTTTGCCTTCCTTTTAGCTTAGTTATATAGCTTGCTTTGCTCAAAGAGTAAAATTAAAGTCTTAACTAATGTCAAATGGTTTTGCTTTTCCTGTGTAAACATAAATATGTTAAGAAATGTATAGTAAGTTATCTTATTTTAATAGAGACTCATCAGTGCTAGTTATTTAGTGCCTCTCAATAGTATTTCTGGCAAACTGCACATGGCCTTCCTCATAGAATGAGGAGTGGGCATTGACATGAATTTCTAAATTGTGGCATTTCCTGGCATGATGTCAGTTGGCTTAATCATCTCAACTGTCAGCTCACACCCTTGACAGCCAGCTCGGGAGCTGGGGAGAGTCCAAATTTGGTGTTCTGAAGGAGCTCACAGGGGTCTCTGGCACGTAATGATCACCTTGAAAGTCATCGATTTCAAAAAGAACATTCCACTGTGGAAGAGCAGCCAAGAGAAGCAAACCTCAGGCACACACAGTCTGTAACAGAAACCGAAACTCCTAGCAGGAAAATACCATGACCTGCAGTGACAGGGCCAGACCATTTCAGTGAACTCAGCATGCAGAACTGTGTGGGGAAGGGCCCCATGAGAGAGTTACTATGATTATTATTAAGAGGTGAAAAACATTCTCTAAAATGGTGCGGTGTCAGAGTTAGTTTCCAGAAGGCTTGCTAACCTGCAGGGGCTGGGGTAGAAAGTCATTCTATAAAAGGCATAGGTGCAGCTGTGACTTCGAACGTTTCCCTGTGGATGAGATGCCCACACATTTCAGGACACATGTACTATGACGTTTTGGGTGCAGAGAAACGCTGCACCAATCACTCAGCTCCTGTCTCTCTGCCATCAATTTTGTCAAATGTCAAAAATCATCTATTCAGAGATGCCTATGTAGAACAGAGGAGGGGACTCTGAGTATTTAGGAATCAGTTTCCTAACTCAGCTCATCACCCTCTCACTCAGGACAACTTCCGCTTGCCTAGTGGGGAGAAGCTTCCAAGTGCAGTGTGGGCACTGGAGGGAATGCCTCGGCCACAGTTCCCGTGGAAATCTCGGGGATTTAAGTCTTTAACCAGCCCCCCAAAGACCACAACCCTCCCTCCACCATCCACTGACAGCTTTCTTGGCTCCCTAAGCTGTTCTGCACTGAGTCCTCAACTTATCTTCTCTGCTGACATTTCCCCTAGTTGTGGTGGTCATGCCCGCCAGGGAGCTGCTCCCTCTGAAGGTGATCCTGCCCCATCTCCGGGCCTCACGGGCATGGCTGCTCCAAAGACCGCGACCAATTTCCTCCTCTAAATCACGTGGGATGCATCCAAGGGCTCCTTGGGGCTCAGCCCTTGTTAAAAGAGTGCAGCTTACAGACCACACACTTCTTTGTAAAAAAAAAAAAAAAAAAGAAAGAAGAAAGAAAGAAAGAAACTCTCGTTGTATTCTTCAAATTCTGGAAGGAGGCAGGACTTAAAAAAAAATTACTGGTAATTCAAGTTCTTCTCCTTAATGTAGAAATAAACCGTGCTGAAATTCCGGTCACAAAGGCCATTGGCTTGGGCCTTCTTAGTCAATATGTATGGCAGACTTTTGAGAGCTTCATTCACCTGTTTATGATAATAATTAGAAGATAGTACAGGTTAGGCATCTCAAATCCAAAACTATGAAATAAAAAATGCTCCAAAATCTGAAACACTTTGAGTGCCGACATGATGCTCAAAAGAAATGCTCATTGGAGCATTTCGGGCTTTGGATTTTCAGATTTGGAATGCTCAAATGGTACGTTTATGATGTAAATATTCCCAAATCCAAAAAAATCTGAAATCTGAAACACTTGGGTGCCAAGCATTTTGGATAAGCAATACTCAACCTATATACACCTATCAATTTGTTCCCAGCTGGAGAGGAAAGAAAAAGTCAACCACACTGATATATCAGCAAATATGTACCAAGCATTTCTGAGTAAGTACAAGTTGTAGAAAGTCAGGGATACCAAGAAAGGACATGAACAATTCTGAAGCAACTTCAAAACGCAGATAACTGATTTTTTTTAAGTAGTAAATACATAAGTATTTACAATGTGCAAAGTATCTTGATAAATTCTATTAATACAAATGAAGGTACACTGACTCCTCTTCTAAGGGAAATTGCAGATGAAGGTAACAGCATAACCCTAGATCCCAAAGGACACTGGGTTCTGGGTTCTGCTTGTTAACACTCAGGTTCTGTTGTGTTGTCACATGGCCGTTGTGTAGGTCACTGTCAGGAGAGTTTTCAACAGAGGCTTCTAGATCAGTGGTTTTGTGTCCAGTTTATTTACTCATGCCTCATACCTTCATTATTGACACCGAAGGTTGGAGAGAAATGAGGTTGAATCACTGCTGTTGAAATTTAAATATCTTCCTGTCTAATCTGTTATTATTTCAGATTTGTATGTGAGGGAAACCCACATGTAGAGAAGTTAGGAAATCTTCCCCCAAATCGCACAGCTGGTAAATTCCAAAATCAGAATTCAAGCTTCAGGGAGTTGAATCCCAAGGCCAGGGACCTGGTTTCCATAGCTCGTCATCTCTGTCTCTGATGTTTTCCTCCCCTCCAGTCCCTGCCGGGACACCTGGGGTGCTCACGGGGCATCTAGCTGTCTATTTTCACAGTCACACACATCTTTAATTTATCAAGGTAGAATGGTGTCTATCATACTGTTTTAATTCTTCTAAGAATGTAGCCTGTATATTATCTATATCAATGAATTAATATCTATTTCTTTAATTGTAAGGTCTACATAATTGTATGAAAACAATGTATGAATGCATACCCGGTTTATAGTGACTATCCCCATTGCTCATGGGGAAGGCTGGGATTAGAAATGCTGGAAGACAGAACACATACGTTTTTAAGGCTTTCTGTATATTTTCTCAAATTTGCTTTAAAAGTGACATCAGTTTGCATTCACATCAACTGCATTTTGGAGTAGACACAGGGCGTTGATTTTACAAATCTGCCGGCATTTGAGGAGTAAGCGTTTGTTCTAAGGCTTAAGCCACTACAAGAACGCACACCACAATGATCAAGCCACACAAAGTCCTCTGGTGACTCATGAGGTTGGAGAGAAATTGCTGCTGTTGAAATTAAAATATGTTCCTCTCAAATCTGTTATTATTTCTGATTTATATGTGAGGGAAACCAACACTTAGAGAAGTTAGGAAATCTTCCCCAAATCACACAGCTGGTAAAGTCCAAAAATCAGAATTCAAGCTCAAGGGAGCTGACTCCCAGGGCCAGCGGCCTGGTTTCCACAGCCCGTTGTCTCTGTCGCTGATGGTTTCCTCCCCTCCCCTCCAGCCCTGCCAGGACATATGGGGCACTCCCCGAAGGGGAGCCTTGGTCACCTGCTTTTTCTTAAATGACACAAGCTCTGGCCACTTGACTTTGTCTCGTTGGCCAGATTCACTGAAGCACTTAAAACACAATGACTAGATTCATTTTTCATGCACAGAACATTCGAGGATCCTGAATGCAAACACTCTTGGATGATCCAGAAGTAGTTCAATCCACAGGGTAAGTATAGTCTGTTTATTTATTATTTATTTATTTATTTATTTATTTATTTATTTTTGAGACGGAGTCTCGCTGTGTTGCCCAGGCTGGAGTGCAGCAGAGCTATCTCGGCTCACTGCAACCTCCGCCTCCCGGATTGAAGTGATTCTCCTGCCTCAGCCTCCCAAGTAGCTAGCTGGGATTATAGGCATCTGCCACCATGCCTGGATAATTTTTGTATTTTTAGTAGAGATGGGGTTTCGCCATGTTGGCCAGGCTGGTCTCAAACTTCTGACCTCAAGAAATCCACCAGCCTCCACCTCCCAAAGTGCTGAGATTACAGGTGTGAGCCACTGCGCCCGGCCCCTAGGATATTTTTTGATGTGGTTTTTGGTGTAGAATGTTTTAGCAGACTAGGATGTGTTTTGAGAAGTCCCTTGTAGGACTTTTCTATTGCTGCAAGATAGTCACGCGTGCAACGAGTGAATGGAGGTGTTTCTTTTGCTTTCTTTTTTTGGCTGTGCAAATACACAGAGCAAAAAAAAAAGCTATTTGAAAAGAATCTACTAGTCTGTTTTTTGTTTTTTTGTTTGTTGTTGTTGTTTGTTGTTGGTTTTTTTTTGAGAAGGAGTCTATTTCTGTCACCCAGGCTGGAGTGTAGTGGCGTGATCTCGACTCCCTGAAACCAACTACTCTGTTTTTTGAATTCTTGCTTCTTCACGTCAGTGCAGTGCGAGATGCATGGTGAAAGGCACACCTGTGTAAGTGACATGGCATCTGCTCCTACACACTCAGACAGTTTAAAGGACTTAGTGCTATTCCACCTTCATCAGGGTGCAACCCAAAACTAACAGAGGGACAAGAAGGAAAACCCAACCACACAACAGATCACCTTGACAGGTGATCTCCAAGGTGATCCAGAAGTAGTTCAATCCATGGGCTATCGATTTTATTTTTTAGAGCATCATCATCCGAGGTGATGCTCTAAGACATGTGGGTGTGGAATTAAAGCTGGGGTTATAGCAGCATGTTCTAGGAATAGCACTGAATCTGTTACCTTTGCTTTTTTTCTTCCATATTTCCACATTTCCTTTAAAAGGAATCCCAAGAAGCTGGATGTTATCTGTACCCTTTTCCCACTGGCATCTGGAAGAACCTAAGTTAAGGAAAGATGTTTGCTGCACTCTCTTGTTTTTTTATGTTTATGATGCTAACCCATGCTAGTCACTATTGCTTTGAGCTATGGTCTGAGTGTCTACGTCCCCTTCAAAATTCTTATGTTGAAATCCTAACCCCCAAGGTGATCGTATTAGGAGGTGGGGCCTTTGGAAGGTGAGGAGGACTTGAGGGTGGAGTGCTCATGAATGGAATAAGTGCCCTCCTAAAACATTGGTCGGGGGACATCCTCACCCTTTCCACCATATAAGGACACAGTGAGAAGGAGCCATCTATGAGCCAGAAATTCAGCCCTCACCACACAGAACCTGCCAGTGTCTTCATCGTGGACTCCTTAGCCTCTGGAACTGGGATAAATAAATTTCTGCTGCCTATCAGCTACCTGGTTTATGATATTTTGTTATAGCAGACCAAAGACACCATATGACACATTATCCCTTAAATTTAGTAACTTAAGGCAACAATTCTATTTTTTCTTATGATTTGGTGGGTCAGAACCATGGGAAAGACTCAAGTGCACGGTTCTTAGCTGGGGTCTGTCATGCAATTGCAGTGAGGTATCAGCCAGGGCGGTTGTCATCTGAAGGCTGGACTGTGGCTCAGACACAGGCTGGGCATCTGATGCAGCCTGTTGGCTGGAGCTCAGCTGGGGCTGTTGACTGGAGCACCTACAGCAACCTCCCAGAAAGGTGCTCTCAAGGTCATTGGACTTATTACATGCTGCTAGCTTTTGCCCGAGCAAACATCTCAAGCATATCATGTATGGGATAAGGGCTGCACAGCTTTTTCTGACCTCCTATTGGAAGACCTACAGTGTCACATCCAACATAATCTGTTGGTTGAAGCAGACACACATTCAGCCAGGGTCAAAGCAAAAAAAAAAAAAAAAAAAAAAAACATAGATCCCTGCGTCCCAGTGGGAGAATTATCAAATAATTTGGTACTTTTTAAGTAGTTGTGAAGAATATTATGTTATGCACTTTCCCAATTAAACTACATGTTTTTTTAAGTGACCAACTTGACATTAGTGTGTGGAGATGTGTTCTTATGTCAACATGCCCGTAGAAATTCTGCTCACAGAATAATGAGGCATTGATATCACTTCATTGATTACAAAGAACTCGAAAACTATGTTATCTCTATGATTCTCACTCCAACTCAGGGTTGTACAGATTATTCTGTTTCCCATGAACAGACACTGAAGCTCAAAAAGTGCAATGACCTGCCTAGTGCTCCACGATGCCTGGTCTGTCTTGTCTATGAACCAACTTCCACTTCTACTCAGCGGAATTCCTTGCACACTTTTGACTTAAGCTTTCGTCAAATGCTTGCTGTACAGAAACTGCCTGTAAGCACTGCATACCGGCACTGAAATAATCAGAGCCTGTTGTTATGAGCCATGGAAATTGTCCACTTGGGGCTGTTGGACTGGCAGGTGCTGCATCTTGATATGACACATGTGTCAGGTTGGGGGGTCAGTATTTGCTAATTACAATTCAGCTTTATGTAGGAGGCTTTGACGGTAAACATAAATTACTTTTCTCATGGATTAGCTTTAGAGAACATTTCAGTGACAGCCCTAGAGTCACTTTTCTACTGGGAGATGAACACTGAAGTAGAATTTACTAGCCTCACTCCTTTTTACACATACATCCACAAGTATTTTATTCCTGAAGGCTCAGTTACTTGTCCAGTTTTCGACCTGAGTTTCTGGGGGTTTTCTTTAAAGCTTTTTTTTTTTTAATAAAAATTATTATCTTTTATTGTGGTAACATACACCTAACACAAAATGTACTGTCTTATCGCCTTTAAGTGTACAGTTCAGGGGTATTTAATACATCCGCAGTGTTGTGTAACCACCGACACCCTCCCTCTGCATAACTCTTTTCACCTTGTAAAACTGAAATTCCATACCCATTAAACAGTAACTCCCCATTTCCTCTCCCCTGACAACCACCATCCTGCTTTCTGTCTCTATGACTTGACCATTCTAGGTACCTCATATAAGCAGAATCATACAGCGTTTGTCTTTTTGTGATGGGTTTATTTTACTTAGTGGAATGTTCCCAAGATTCATCCATATTATTGCATATGTCAGAATTTCTTGTTTTCATGACTAAATAATATTCCACTGTGTATATATACCACATGTTGTTTATCCATTCATCTCTTGAAGGGCGTTTGGCTTGCTTCTACCTCTCTGCTATTGCGAACAATTCTGCTGTAGACTTATGTGCACCAATATCTCTTCAAGACCCTACTTTCGATTTTTTTGGATGTACACCCAGAAGTGGAATTGCTGCATCATATGATAAATCTATTTTTAATTTTTTGAGGAAACTCCATGCTGTTTTCTACAGTGGCTCTACTGTTGTTACATTTCCACCAACAGTGCACAGAGATCCAGCTTCAGCCCATCCCTCTATAGACTTGAGTTTTAAGGAAAGATTGAAACATAAGGCAGCTGTTCGCCTGTCCTCTATAGACTTGAGTTTTAAGGAAAGATTGAAACATAAGGCAGCTGTTAGCCAGTTCCTTGTCTTTCCTGACATCTTCTTTGCTGTTGTTGGCTTTTTGTTTTGTTTTGTTTATTGAGATGGAGTCTCATTCTGTCACCCAAGCTGGAGTGCAGTGGCATGATCTCTGGTCACTGCAACCTCTGACTCCCGGGTTCAAGCGATTCTCTTATATATTTATGGGTTACATGAGAAAATTTGATATAGGCATGTGAAGAGGACTAATCACATCAGGGGAAATGGGGTGGATGGACTTCTGACACATAAAGAGTGTTCATTCAGGCTGGCCACGGTGGCTCACGCCTGTAATCCTAGCACTTTGGTAGGCCGAGGCAGGCGGATTGCCTGAGCTCAAGAGTTCGAGACCTATCTAGCCAACATGGTGAAACTCCATCTCTACTAAAATACAAAAAACTAGCCGGGCACGGCAGCATGCTCCCATAGTCCCAGCTACTCGGGAGGCTGAGGCAGGAGAATTGCTTGAACCTGGGAGGTGGAGGTTGCAGTGAGCCGAGATCATGCCACTGCACTCCAGCTTGGGCGACAGAGCAAGACTCGGTCTCAAAAAAAAAAAAAAAGAAGTGTTCATTCATTTCTTCTTCTTCTTTTTTTTTTTTTTTCTGTATTAAGCACAGTCCCATTCCCACTCTAAGGTTTCTAATCATTAGATCCTCAAGCTGTCCAGGCCACTGTGACGTTGTTTCTCTTTCTGAAGATCTCCCTTCCACCACAAGACAAGGAGGAGAAACAGCCGGCAGTGTGATTCCACCGTAATCCATGAAGACCTTGATGCTGAAAAATACACTCAGGGATTCCATCATATGCCATCCCCATGTGCCTGTGGTCGCAAAGTTTCTAGACATAGAAAGTCATAGCTCCCCACAGAAATTTGGGGACATCTGTAAACATACTGTAAAATAGCAGATTCCAGCCAGGCACAGTGGCTCATGCCTGTAATCCCAGCACTTTGGGAGACCAAGGCTGGCTGGTCACCTGAGGTCAGAAGTTCGAGACCAGCCTGGCCAACATGGTAAAACCCCGTCTCTAGTAAAAGTACAAAAATTAGCCAGACATGGTGGCGCATGCCTGTAATCCCAGCTACTCAGGAGGCTGAGGCAGGAGAATTGCTTGAATCTAGAGGGTGGAGGTTGCAGTGAGCCAAGATCGCACCACTGCCCTCCAGCCTGGGTGATGGAGGGAGACTCCATCTCAAAAAATAAAAACAACAGACTCCACTGCTCAGCAAGAGAATGAAGATTAATGGAAATTACAATGGTTAGGGAAATAGCCATCAACCATCAATTCGGATCACTCTTTCATGCTCTCAGGGGTATACCCCATCTCATTCCAAATAGCCCCGCCTAGGAACATTCTAGAATACTGGCACATCCTTATCTCACGTCATGGCTTCCTAACATCTTCACAGGGAGCGCCTATGCTCCTTTTGGAGTGAAGCGGGCTTTCCAGCACATTTATCTCCAGGATAAACGTAATCTAGAGCTCATTACGACCCCTTAGCAATATTGACTGCATATTTTGAAGCTAAATTTGTGGAGTATCATAGGGCCTGGCTGGGCTGGTTATCTCTGGCAGGCCTACCGCATGGAGGCCTGATGGAAGGGTTCAAAAAAAGATTTCAATCAGACTTAAGGCAAACACTTCAATTCACTCCATACTGGTGAACACTCTGCCCTCACGCTCATTGGAAGGCTGCTTGGATCTATCACTATTACTTCCTAATTGACTGGAATCTATTGAACTTGCAGCTTTGTTGACAGTGCACTAAGAAGTACTATTAATCACAACTACCTCCATTGGTGAACGCCATTTATCTCTGTCATCGTGCGTGCTTAAGAAACATCTTTGCACTGAGATGATCCCAGGTCCAATCACAATGATCATTATCTGATGTCACCTTCAAAACGTGGCTCAGCCAGAGCAAAATCTGTAAGGACAACACCATGGTGACCAGTGGTCCAACCCACTATGGGGGAAGTAGAGAGTTGGACAAAAATGGTTTTGAGCTTTCAGAGGTGACAGGAGTCAAGTAAGTGAGTTTATGATGTAAGCACACTTGAATGCTCCTTTAATCTTTAGAGCGGGGGCCACTGATCTTTGTTAATTTCCACAAAATCTCTGCAAAGCCGCGTTCTTCCTGGATTACTCAGAAAAGCCTTCCAGATGGTGACGGCCGGGCATCAGAGGCCACACCTTCAACTGGAGCTCCAACCCCACAGCGTCAGCACCTTTCTGTCGGGGAGAGAGTGTGACCGTGATGAGAACAACAGTGCTTCCACACGGTCTTCCCTTGCAGAAGGAGAACGTCAGACAGAGTTCTAGTTATACCTCGACATAGCTTTTCAGCTGAAAAATTCCATTTTACCAGCTGAGCATGTGGCTTGGTCTGGGATATTTGGTCGCAAAACAAAACAAAACAAAACCTGCTCAAATCGTGTTAAAACAAGCAAACAAACTCGCTGAGAAGTTTATATTGGAAGATGCTGAATGTAAGGGCAGAAAGCAATGCTATCCCCAGAAGAGATCAGCGCCTGAGCCTGAGAAGTCATCCAGAGGGAGGCAGGGCCCTTCCTCAGATCCCACGGGGTCTGGGATCCTGCTGTCCTCTGCCTCCATGGGCAAAGACCACGATTTCTGTGACATGCCCCATCCAGGATCCCAGCTAGTGCTGATGAGGAAGGTCCCCTCGTGGAATAGTTACTAGTAAATTCATTGAGAGGAGCCCTGGCTTTATTCCATCCAGGTGTGTGCATGTGTGTACACGCATGCCTATGTGTATGTGTACATAAACACACATATGCGTACACTGGGCTTCCAGATTAGAATGTATTTTATTGCTGACGTTTATTTGACCATGATGCTCTGCCACTGTAATCAGGTTATTTTCTTGAGTGAGGCTCCAGTCTCTCCACGCAAATGGAAATAAAAGCAGCACCTTTCCTGCTGTGAGCCCACAAACCTCCTTCCACCCTCCGTCAGGCCGTGCAGAAGGCCGCCATCATTATTTCCTTCCTGTGAGTTAGAGGTCATTTCATTCCACATGTATTTCTAAAAAACTAAAAGGGTATGTTTTATATGTTTTAATCTTAGCTTTTCTTTGAGCTGAATAAGAAGGGGGCAGAGTTGTATGTGATCTGAAACTTCAGTGTTTCAGCAAATATTATATGGTTAAGATTTAGATGGTTATTTCTGATGTTGAATGCCATATTTGTAATATTTCATCATTTGCAAAATGATTGCTAGATGATTACCCGTTTAGTAAGTTAAACCGGAAGTTCCCCCAGTGTCTACTATGTTAAATAGTTTTGTTTTCTTAAGTCATGAATGGAATTTCAATGTAATTAAAATGTTCAGTATCTACTTGATAAAACAGCAATATCTGGTGGGAAAATGATCCAATGCATACCAGTGACTCTTGAATCTCGGTCTCACGCTGAGCAGAAAAAGCCAGACACCAAAGACAGGTGGGGTCCGATTGCACTGCGTGAACAGCTAGAGCAGGCCAAACTCATCTTTCGAGATAGAAACCCCATCAGGGCATGCTGGAGGCAGAGCGGGAAGGGAGTCTGCACGCAGAGGCTCTGTGTTAGCAGAAGTGTTGGTTGCGGATTTGGGGATGGCCATTCAGGGGTAGGGGTATGCATTTCTTAAAATTCATCACACTCGCTTCGGGAGGCTGTGGATCGCCTGAGGTCAGGAGTTCGAGACCAGCCTGACCAACATGGTGAAACCCTGTGTCTACTAAAAATACAAAATTAGCCCGGCGTGGTGGCAGACGCCTGTAATCCCAGCTACTTGGCAGGCTGAGGCCCGAGAATCACTTGAACCCGAGAGGAGGAGGTTGCAGTGAGCCAGATGGCACCACTGCACACGGGAGGTTGCAGTGAGCCAGATGGCACCACTGCACTGCACTCGTCTGGGTGACAGAGGGAGACTCTGTCCAAAAAAAAAAAAAAAAAAAAAAAAAAGAAGAAGAAGAAGAAAAGAAAAAGAAAATGCACATTTGTAAGATCCATTCTGATGCAGTCAGAGGTGGGGGGATATCATGGGAAGTCATCGGTCAGTGCCTTCAGGGGTCTTGTGGCCACCTCTGTCTCCTCTCTGTGTAGACGAGTGCCCGGTAGATTATGTTTGTGCTCGCTGACTTAATCCATGACTGAGTACAAACTTCACTTACTTTGAAACCTTCTAGTTTCTCAGCAAAATGAAAAAGTTACTTTTTCTCCTTGTGTGCTAGGCACATAAATTCTAATAACCTTTATCTCTGGAAAGACAGATTTCCAGTATTGGCCATTTCAATTTATATTATTCATAGATGTTGGCCCTTAGCATTCCCACTTACAATAACCACAAATCCAGACTCCATGCCTGCAAACTTATCTTATGGCGGAAAAGATCTTTTTAAGATAAAGACCAGATAACCAGACAACCGTAACAAAGCGAATTCCAAGCTAAGGAATTGATGATTCTGGTTAACTGTGGACAGAGCCCAGCGGGAAGCTGACTTGAGTTCATGTTCTCCATAGATCTGGGGTCAACACGAGAATCCCTTTCCCATGAAATGGTATAATAATTCCCTTTGAAATGTATTCTCTTAAATGCCACTGTGGGGAAATTTATTAAAAATTTATAGTATATATTAAATCAATAAGATGAAGATATTTTTTCTCATGGCTATTCTTTAGGTAGACCTCAACGTGACATTCAAATCCTGTGCTAGATGGATGTGAATGTAATGGTTTTGTAAGTAGCTTCCTTCTTGACGGGTCACAAGGCAGTGTCCATGCACACCCCAAGTCAGGAGACACGCAGTCAGAGGTAGATTTAGTAACAGGACAGGAGAATGCGTGCTGACATGCAGATTACCTACTGCAGGGCCTTCCATTTCAAAGCATGATATAACCCCATATATTTAGGAAGATGACCAGCTCTGTGATTTTGTGATGCCTTCAGTATCTTTTGTATTTTATACAAATTGGCGTTATCTTTCATGAATTGCATGGAGAGTATCCAAGGGTGATATCTCTTCCTGAAGAATACCTGGACATCATTTAATTGTCAGCTTCAGAGACCGGCCTCTCTGACTCTCTCTTTCTGGGATTTGCAGTCAGAGAAGGTGGAGATGTAAACTGCTAAAATTACATGAACATATATGGGCCTCTTTTCCTCCCCACCCCACCCCCCCAAAAAAAAGCCATCTTTCTCTGAACACATCAAGTTATCACCACTTTTGATGTGAAGGGATCTGAACCCCTTCTGTGTATATCCACACTCCTGGTATGACATGATTGGAATTACTTCTTCATCTCCCATTTGACTAGCAGTTCTGTTTATTGATCTACATTTGGCCAATTAAAATAAACAGAAAGTTTGGTGTGAATTAAAAATTACAAGACCCTTCGTCATGCCATTACTTAGACTTTAACAGATAAATACTGACATTTCAATAAAGAATCATACCATGTTGTAGGAATCACAGCATCATATATGGCTTTTTTTTCCTGCAGCCAGGCATGGCGTTGCTCCTCTTGGTATCAATACCATTTCTTTTGCTTGGGCCTTTGTTTAAAGAGGAGGAATGTGACACATTTTTATTTTAATCATACTTGGTTTCTGGGAAATTCAGCTATTCTTTTCTCCTCTTTATCAAAGTGATGATGTAAACATTATCAGACTCACTAATTAGATAGTTGGCCAAACCTGTAAATAAAGCTAAAGTCACAGCCCTCTGATCTTCAAAGAGAAACAGTCTAGATGAAGAGAAAGGTGTTCTGTTGATAAAACACTGCCATGTAATTGGAGGCAAAATTAGATCACAATGGAGGCTCCTAACAGGCATGAAGATTAATCTTGTGTCTGTGACCCACTTGAGTTCTTCTTAATACCAACCTATATTAAGAAAGTCTTAACATCACTTGAAATCTCAAAGCACAGAGCTTTGGTTCATCTTTCCAACATTGATTTCATTTTTCTAGGTGAGATGTGAAGATTTTTAGGAATGAATGTGGGATGCGACAGGGTCCTTAGGTTTCCTGGGTGATGTTTTCAAGGTGCTCTCAACCTCTTTGTTTCACTAAGACTTCCAAGAGCAGTGCGGATGTCTAAGCAGGCAGTTTACCTGTGAGACAGCAGAGAATACACTGAGTCCGGGAAATTCAGTGACTTCTTTGGGGCCACTTGGCTGGTGAAGTACAGAATTTGAAGTTGGATCAATTAGATCTGCTAATTCTCCTTCTCTAAGTGGTGCATAGAACAAATATTTTAAAAAATAGATTCTATTTGTCGCCGTGTATGAATAGAAGAAAAGATGATTCTATTGTTGCTTTTGTATATCGAAGGAGGAACTTTCTAAACTGTAAGCCTAACGATGTCTCACACAGCAGTCTTTATTGACTACAAATCTATCCTGTGGTCCTGGGATCCAGGTTATAATTTTGTATTATTTAAATATTTTATATAAGAACAATATCCAAAATGGCCATCCATTTTTTTATATTTAGATATTTTTGTATTTAGATATTTGCAAGTTTTTATATTTAGTTTTTTTGTAAATTTTACAATTCTGGACTCTTGCAGAAACTGTCATTGTTCGCCTAAGCTGAAAATATTTTAAGAAGGAGTTTGAAATGCAGTTCCACAGACCTCATTCTTCTCCCCCAATAATATTTTCATAAGACATTTCCAATCTTTCAGAAGACAGTTTGGTTAAAACGTCAGTTATTTTTGTTTATGACCTCTGTTTAGGTACAAGCTGAGTATTTTATTCTTATCTGCATGACAAGAATCTAGTAGAAATGGAGGATGAGGCTTATCTAAGGTAAAAAGCTTTAGTTTAAAAAAATGTTGATGACTGGCATATGTGTGTAACATTGATATTGGCCAGCTATAAAATAATTTAAATAGGCTGTATTATTTTATGCCTTTATGGCTGGATTCTATTACCATGCTGGTGTTCAATCTCTACCCGACAGACAATCACTAGAGAAAGGAAATTTGATTCTGAGGCCCTCTAAACAGGGCCACTCCCTGCTTGCACAGTTGCCCCACGTCTGGAAGGATTTGAGCAAAGCCCAGGAGCAGATGCCCCAGCCGTGAGGTCATGAGGAAGCCTCTGGCCGCAGGGAGAGATAAAGTTGCAGGGTGTGTGGCAAAGGATTAGGAGAAACCTTGGAATTTGGACTGAGCAATTTGACTTCAGCAGACTTAACCTGAGGCGGCAGTGGGAGAATCAATTTGCCTTAAATAAAGTGTTTGAAGAATGCAGAGTGGATATGGTAGAAAAGGTGCAAACCACAGCGCCTTCTGGAATGGGATCAAGAAACTCCACTCCGTAAGGTGGGGAAACGGAGGCTGTTAAAAAACGTAAAGGCATAGAATAGAATCACACAGTGATAGGAAAATTATACCAAGTCACCACCCCTGAACCCGATCAGCCTATGTAAATGACTTTGTGCTAATAGGAGTTTCAGAGAAGGCTAAACTCCCAAACCTTTGCCTGACACCACCCTGGTGCTTAAGACCACCTTGGTGATGAGTCTGGAGTCCACGCGTGGCTCATAACACACGGTCTATAATGTGCTAGCTAAGCACAGAAACACACGCGTTCTGGGTGACTTGACGTTTTAATAAACATGTGATTCCCACACATGGGAATGCTCAGGCCTGGAACTGACCCACAGGGATGCGTCCTCACAGCCTGGGGGAGCCACGAGGATTTGGCTCTGATTCTCATCTTCCCCCTCTTCATCCCTTGCCCTCCCACTCCTCCATGACGTGGTGGCCACAGCTCCTGCCGGGCAGTGAGGCCGACTGCAGCTGACCGGTGACCGGCGTGGCTGGCTCAAGGCTTTGGCTCTGGTTACAAATAAACTGGCCGTGAAGTTCTTCCATTTTCCTGTGTGCTCCTCTGTCTCCATGTGTGCGTTTATAGCTGGTTCCCACAGGGCTGCTTATCAACCCCAGCTTCTTCCAATCTCACGGCTGACGCGCAGGCTGTGGACCCCGATGGGGACGATATGGAGCCTTTTGCTGGCATCCCGGCAGTTTGGTGGTAGGAAGTACTTATGTGGGTATTTCTCAGTTTTCTCAGGTTTGGAAATTTCCAAACCTGAGGCAGTGGGATTTCTTGTGATACTAGAATCTTTTGGAGGGTAGTGAGTGCTTTCTGGGATGGGGTCCCAGCCACGTGAGACAGGCTCACGGTTTCAAGCCATCCTGCAGATCGGCTCCAGGGTCGTGCCTTCACCCCAGACCTGCCTCCAGATAACATTTCCCTGGGCCTCTGGTGTCCAAGAATCTGTTAAAAATCAGACTAAAACCGTTAGGTGCCATGACAAGACCTCCGGTACCACCAGGGCCCAGCGCGATTGATTTAAGAACACTTCAAACTCACTGCCGCCTTCTTAAAAAATAGGAAGAGAGAGTGAGTAATAGGGAGGGGAGAAAGGGGAGTTTGTCAGCCATCATATGTCATAAGAGGATATTTTATTTTAAAAATATGTTGAAGCTGGCCATGGTGTGAGTTGACTGCTGAGGGAGTGAGGCTTTCTGTTAGAGAAAACTCTTATCCGTTCCTTAGGAAACGTGATGATAGGCTTGCTAATTTGCAAGTGATGTGAGGCTCCTCCCCGCTTCACTCCTCCCAACACACACACACACACACACACACACACACACACACACACACACACTCACTTTGTGGCCTCCATGGACGAGGTTGCAGTAAAAAAGAGAGAAATTTGTCACAGAAGAGATGTCAAGAAGACAGTGGGCTGGAAAGTGGGCCAGCCCTGAGAAGGAGAAGCACCCGCACAATTGGAAACATTCTCGGGGGGCAGAGGGAAGGGGACTGGAAGCATTCTCGGGGGGCAGAGGGAAGGGGACTGGAAGCATTCTCGGGGGGCAGAGGGAAGGGGACTGGAAGCATTCTCGGGGGCAGAGGGAAGGGGACCGGAAGCATTCTTCCGGGGTGAAGGGGAAGGAGCTGGCCTACTCAGGCGATGTAGCTACGTGGCAGTCTCATCTCCCTTTTGTGGATCAAGAAACAAACTCAGGCTTAGAAAGGCAAATGACTTCCCTGGGGACACAGGGCAGTGATTGGTGGCACAGGAATTCAAGCCCGAGTCTGCATGCCTGTCCACATAGAGGCAGGCGTCAGGGCCGCAGGTGCTGCCGTATGGACATATGTTAACTTACGCTAACTTGCCTTTAGGACTCATCTTTGCTGTTATTTGCTTACGACAGAGCTGCTTCTATAATTATGACAGGATTCCCTGCCTTAGGAAAGGTGAGTCTGAGAGAGGAGAGAATCTGGAGTTATGCTGGCTCAATGAACACTCTTCATCTGATTCTTGAATTCCTTGCTCTTCATTCCTGACCAGGCTTATCTTCTGTTGGGAAATTCCAGCAACAGGGACCTTGTTTCAGAGCTACCGGACTGTAACATCTGGTAGCGATCCCTGAAAGAGTAATCGGGAGAAGCACTGGTTGGAGGGTTGAGGAGGGGGAACTCAACACCCCACCTCCAACCCCCAAAAGAAACCTCTGTGTGTGTGTTCCTGTATGTACGCGTGCGTGTGTTCCTGTATGTACGCGCACGTGCGTTCCTGTATGTACGCGCGCGTGTGTTCCTGTATGTACGCGTGTGTGTTCCTGTATGTACGCGCGTGTGTGTTCCTGTATGTACATGTGTGTGTCTGTGGTCTCCGAGCGTGTCTGTGTGCTTCTGTGTCTCCATGTGTATATTTAGGTGTGTGTGACCCTGTGTATGTCTGCACTTGCACCTGTGCCCGTGTTCGCGTATGCTTCTGGGGGTGTGTATGTGCTCGTGTGCATGTGTGTATTCATGTCTGTGTGTACAGTACATGTGTGTCTGTGTGTGCTGGGTGTGTATGTGTGTATATGTACTGCTGTGTGTCTCTGTGTGTATGTTCATGTATATATGTGTGCATGTGTCTGTGTGTATGGCTGTGCATGAGCTTATGTGTGCGTGTCTTTGTGAGTGTGTAAGTGTATAGACGTGTGTCCATGTGTATGTATAAGGGTGTGTATATGTGTATCTGTGTGACTATGCATCTGCGTGTGCACATATGTGTCTGTGTGTCTGTGTGTGCATGTGTCTGTATACATGTGCATGGCCATATGTGTATCTGTGTATATTTGTGCCTGTATGTGTAGGTGTGTGTCTGTGTGAGACTCTGTGTGGGTACCTGTGTCTCTGTGTGTGTGTGACTGTGTGGGTCACTGTGTGTGTGCATGGGGTGAGGGAGGAAGTAGAAGAAGGAGGCATTTTCCCTGGAAACATGCAAACGTCCCGCCGTGGGGCACGAGCTCTCTGAGTTCTTGGAATGATTCTGACGTCCATCGTAGCAGATAAGTGAAGTTGTCCTCATCCGGAAATAGAGAGAGAGGGATTGCTTTGACATAAAGCTACACCACTTTGTGTATAATGTAATGAATGAATTCATAAACATTAACAAAAACCTGTTTTAAAGGAACTTATAAAACAATGACTAGGCAAAGATCTGTAGAATGCTGTTCATGCCAGAACTCGATGTTAAAATAACAGACATCGCTTAAGAAACTTGGTATGTAAGGAAACTTCTCGGCACCCACCCCCTCGTTTCTGAAAAATTACTAGTGAGTCTTTTGACCTTTCATTTAGTCACGTGAAGTTTTCATGGGTAATTCTTTCTTTCCCTTTAAACTACAATCAGAATCGAAACTGAAACTAAGAAAAGCTCAAGGACGTCAGTATTTGTCTTTTAAGCTGTTAACAAAAATAATAAAACTCTGAAGACTGTTGTCAAAAAACACAATGGTGGTATGATGAAGAAAAGATTATATATGCAAAAACAGACATCAAACCTTAGTTTAGTTTCTAGTAATATAAAATACAAAAAACATATAGAGAGATTTTTAAAGGGGGGTTGGCATTCCCGTATTCACACTGTAGGTCTAAGGAACATGAATGTATTTTGAAAGAATGTCAGAATGACTTAGATATGAAGGAGACACCCACCTCTATATATTCCTAGCCCCTAAGTACCATATTTAGAAAGTAGTTAAATTCTACTGCATTTGTCTGGGAACTTCAATAGAAAAGACCCATACAAACAAAACCGTATTCTCTTCTCAAAAAACAAAACAAGAAAGTACAAGAGCTTCCCATGAGGGTGTCTTTCAGTGCCTGAACTTGGTGTTTGATAGGACCAGGACATGTGGAAGCTTCTGGAAGGCCTGTCCTGTTGCACTCACTCCCTCTGCACTTCCTGGGCACTGTCTGGGGTCTCTGTGCCTGTGTCCCTGTGGACTGAGAGCTGGGCTGAGGAGGCTGTTTCCTGACAATGCTTAGGATGCCTCAGTCTCCAAGGAGAGGCTCTTCCTGAGCTTGTAGCTCAAAGATTATCTTGCTACCTGGCACTTGAGCATGGGGGGACCGACTTTGCTTCCATCCTCCCAGGCAGGTTGCCCGACCTTCCTTTGTGCCACCACAGAACTCCACATTCATCCCTAATTTGGATGTGAAAACTGCCCAGCAGGGGAATGAGCCGCCCCAGGCTGAGGGCCTTGTGATTTATCTCTGTGTTCCCAGTGCCTAAAGCAGGACCAGGCACAAAAGGGGCTCAAGTTGGTGTTGATGTGAAAGAGCCCATGAATTCATGCTTGTCCTATGAGCCAAGCCCAGGAGTTTGGTGCTGGAGTTACGTGGCCCACTGGGCCGTGTTTTCCTGTGCCTTGGGGGCTGCGTATCGAAGCCCTTGCACTTCTGGGGAGAATATCCTTCTAAGGCCATTCTCAAAGTTGAGTGCCCTCTGCAGGGGGTGTGGTGGGGGAGGCAGCGGTGGAGAAAATGAACCGGGGACCCTCCCTATCTTATCCCTCTCTTAGACACTCAAAATGCCCCTGGCATATTTTAGGGCTCTAAGAATTCACGAAAGTCTGCTAAACATTATTTCAGTTAGTATTTCCCATATTAATTGACCATATAGAACTGTTTAAAAAATAGACCTCTTGGCTGGGCACGGTGACTCACACCTGGTGGCCCCCAGCACTTTGGGAGGCCGAGGCGGGCAGATCACCTGAGCTCAGGAGTTCCTGACCAGCCTGGCCAACGTGGCAAGACCCCGTCTCTACTAAAAACACAAGAATTAGCCAGGCATGGTGGGACACGCCTGTAGTCCCAGCTACTCGGGAGGCTGAGGCAGGAGAATTGCTTGAACCTGGGAGGTGGAGATTGCAGTGAGCCGAGATCATGCCACTGCACTCCAACCTGGGTGACAGAGCAAGACTCTGTCTCCAAAAAAATAAAAATAAAACACCTCTTATCCCTGGAAGCAGCTCCCATGGAAGAGTAGGAAGCGATGTCATGATCTCACCTAAGAGGACGTTGAATTTGGACCTGGTTTGCGTCCCGCCTCTGAGGCTCCCCATACCTTCTGACCATTGGCATGTACGGTACCTTCTCAGCAACATGTGGATAATATTAGGAAGTAGAAACAACACTTGGGAATTCTAGCACAATGCCTAGAACACAGTAATCATGTCATATGCTACATACCAGCAGGGAACAGAGCTGCAGAAAATGCTAAAACTGATTTGATAAAAGAGGCTTTTTTTTTTAACCAGTTGTATGAAGGCCTTCAGACTGGCTGTCTGCACCTCTAAATACCTGTCATCTAGATTAGGATTTTAATATCATCTATTTAAAAAATATTAATATGCCCACTGTTTGCTTTTCTATTATTGACTCAAGCATCAGAGCCAATTAAGAAAGGGTTCCAGACAACAGGCCCCAGCACACTCAAAAAGTAAACAACACATTCTTCTGAAATGCCATACTTTGCACTGAGCTCAGAAGAGTCCTGCAGTGAAATGTTAAAGAGTCTGATAACAGTTTGTGAGACAAACACAGACAGGGCGGAGCATGCAAATCAGGACATCCATTTTTTCCCATTAGGGAGATGAGATTTTAATCTGTTTTCAAAATGATGGAGAAATGTTTGAACTTCTACACAGAAGTAACCCTTTCCCCAGAAAAGGAGAGGGTTTTCTGCAAAATGCCACCAAAAATTATAAGCAATTCCTATTTCAAATAGTATCTGTAGAGATTTGATTTGCATCCTAAATAGGGATTTGCAGATTAGCTATTTATAGCATTCCATACACAGAATGCCAACTGATTTTAATACCACTCCTGGGCTTTTGTAATAGGAGATGAAAGGGGAAAAAACAACTTTCCGAAACGTACAGCTTTATTTTTTCCCATTTATTTAATATTTGGAAAGATCAGCTGTATATTGCAAAAGTGGTTATTTTGTTTGAGATTAGCTTTCTTTCAGAAGTTAAATCAATTTTACTTCTGTTGTATTCAACTGCCGTGATTTAGCTGGAACATGGAAACACAGAAAATGAAGGCGGGGAACATGCCTTCATTTGGCATCAGGCTTGGACAGAAGAGAGAGAATTTCCCATTTCCTATTGAAAGAACATCTGCATCAACATTTTCTAAACAACACTGAGCATTACATTAAAATGATATCTTCGATGTATTGTTTCTACTTGGAGAAATTACACAGGCTACAAAAGAGTCACTTCTCCGGATGAATGACATAATAGGGACACAGGCAATCATATCATTGTGATGACTTTTAGAATCTGTAATTTGCACCCCTCTTGTTGGTGCCCTAATGATACTGCCATGAACTTATGTAACAGCATGAAGAATTCTGGATGTTAAAAATTAAGTCTCATATTTGTTCTTATATCCAATTTAACCTGAATTAAATGTATGCTTTGGGAGAAATTGTAGTTGGAGCAGTTTTAGGTTGCTTGGGTGCATCTGAAAAGTCACGACATACCATAGAAATAAAACAGCTTCATTTTGTTTAGTAAGCACTTACTAAATGTCTGCTCAGCAAAGGTATAAGGCAATGGAAGTATGAGAATGAATTTGTAATTACAGTAAAATGACCAGACAGCCAATTTCCTCAAAAATTAAGGAACGGCCGGGGGTGGTGGCTCATGCCTCTAATCCTAACACTTAAGAGGCTGAGGCAGGCAGATCGCTTGAGTCCAGGAGTTCAAGACCAGCCCTAGCAATATGTGAATCCCTGTCTCTACAAAAAATTAGCTGGACAAGATGGTGTATTCCTGCAGTCTCAGCTACTCAGGAGGCTGAGGTAGGAGGGTTTGAGCCCAGGAGACAGAGTTTGCAGTGAGCTGAGATCACACCACTGCACTCCAGCCTGGGCAACAGAGTGAAACCCTATCTCAAAAACAGCAAAAATAAAACAGAAACAGAAAAGAGAAAGAAAGGAGTTTCATATATAACAGTTTGGTGATAGTGTCTCCATTTTCATAACTTTTATGTGAACTAATCGTTTTCCCTACAATTACTCTGTGAAGAAGTTCATGTACTATAACTCCCATTTTATGAGTGAAGAGACAGAGATTTAAATTTCAAGGTGTCCTATGGTTAATCACTTTCTTCAGGATGAAGACCACAGCCACGTATCCTGTCTTTTTGTTCAGTGCTTTAACTTTATTCAACGGTAATAGCTTATGAAATGAAAGAGATGAAAATATCTTACCATTCATCAAGTGGACGAGGATGATGTTTAAGGAAATGTAATAGACCATCACTGAAATACAAAACTCTTTCTGTCAGTATCTTTATTCTCTAAACACTGGCTAATATTGCAGAGCCTGGAGGCAAGTTTATGTCTTTCTTTTAAAGATGCTTATCAAAGTATAAAGCATTATTTGAAATCAATTGAAAGGAGATTTTTTTCTGAAGGCAGTGTCTGGCTAGTCTTGAAAAAGAGAAGACATTTTCTGAGAATCCCACTGGGAAAGACAGAATCTTTATAGAGGCAGAAAAATAAAGGTCTGTAGACAACCAGAGCTGACATGAATGGAACAGTTTAGAAAAGACACACAACATCCCGACGGGAGGCCGCGTTCCTGGAAAGCTAGACTATCACACAGCTGGCAGGTGGAAAATAAACCCTTAGACATCTCATGCCTGTATCAGGGAGTCTGTCAGGGGGGTGGTGCCCTAAGATGTCGTGGGCACAGGTGCTGTCAAATATTTTGAAGTAACCGGGTGTGGTGGCTCACACCTGTAATCCCAGCACTTTGGGAGGCTGAGGTGGAAGGATCACTTGAGCCTAGGAGTTTGAGACCAGCCTGGGCAACATAGTGTGACCTTGTCTCTACAAAAAAATTTAAAATTTAGCCAGGCATCGTGGCATCCACCCCTAGTCCCAGCCACTTGGGAGGCTGAGGCTGGAGGATCACTTGAGCCCTGGAGGTTGAGGTTGCAGTGAGCTGTGATTGCACCACTGAACTCCAGCCATGGCAACATAGCAAGACCATGTCTCAGAAAAACAAAAAAAAAAGAAAAAAAATAAAAACCAAACAAACAAAAAAGTGATATTCCAGGGTTTTCCTAAAGTGCTCCCAAGGTTCCCTGGCTCAGACCAACACCTGTTCAGAAGTCCTCCTGCCCGTCCTGAACTGCTCCAGTAATCCCTCATTCAGAGGACGGGATTACAAGGATTCTTCTGAGCAGCTGCTGTGCCCCAAGGATGCTCCCAGGGCTTGTCCTGTACCCTCTGAATGGCAGTAACAGTGACACTCCAAGACCAAGAGAGAGGCCGCCCTGGTGGGGTTCCGCTTGCTCACTCGCGCGTGGTGCAGTCTGGGGCACATTATTTATTTAAGCCATGTGAACTCCAGCTGCCAACCTAAAATGAGGATGATGCTACTATCTACTTCATGGATTATTCTGAGGACAAAAGGAGCTAACCCACGTACAATGCACGGCTCTCCACCCAGGACTAAGAAAGGTTCACTGCAGTGGCTTCTGTTTTTGATGCTGTATCAGTAAGTCATCAGTTTAATGAAATGAGGTAAGTACTACATCACCCTCAGTCCAGGGAAAACTAAGTGTCTTATCCAAGGATGTACGTCTGCAGGAGGGTAGCAGGGGAGAATGGGGCCGGCTGGATCCCTAGTAGTTTCTGAGATCCAAAGACGGTTTCTAGAGTAGCTCTTGAGGACAACCAGCTGTCATACAATACGTACTCATAGGAAAGGCTTTGAGAAGGATTAAATGCATCTGTGTTTGAATTTTGTGTATCCCTCCTCCTCAGCAACACCTGATCCCTCTGTCTGAGACACATGGATGAGATTCCTGAGAAGGAAGCTGGGCGGTTGTTTCTTGGTTTGGAGCAGAGGAGGAAGTGTTACATATGGTGTTGAGATGCTGGCACTGGATCTCACCCTTCCTCTGTATGACTGTCCTTCATGTGATAGGACCACACTTGTCACCGTCCTACCTACATCCCAGCGCCAGTCTCCACCTCATCCAGAGGCGGTTAATAAATGCTCCCTCAATGGATGTCAAACAAGTTTTCATTATGTGTAAGAACGATTTCTAAAACCAGGTCTTATTGTCCCCTTGACTGTGGTCAAAAAATGTTTAGAATTATAGATAGATAGTCACAAAACATTGAAATCCCTATGGTGAAATTATCATCAGCTCTATTTTATATTAGGTTGCCAATTTCTGCAGACTAGATTATTATCTTGTGTAGGGAAGCCACTGGGTTTATTCATCTTTGTTTCAGTAAATGTGCATATCACCCAGTTCTTTTTCATTTGCCGCCTCAGAAAACATTCTTGCTATTGGATTAAATTTAAAAAGATTAAGTAATAATTTAAAGATTACTAAAAAATATCATGATTTATAGTCTTTGAAGAAAATGAAGAAGGTCAAAAGTTTAAGAGACCTCAGTGAAGTTGTACAGAATTGCAAAACAATTAGTATATTTACTCAACAGTTTTCAGCAATATGTACTAAATTGGTTGAATTAATGATGGCATTTAATATTAAACACATTTTAACTTTTTTATTCTAATTAATAAAACTTTGAGCTAAAGGTATCTTAAATATCTGTTATATTGAACTGAAAATTGCCCATGATATGGGCATAAAATGTCTTACATATATTCCTCTTATAAATGTTTTATATACTTAAGAAAATTGTATTCTATACACATATAATTGAATCTTTGTTAGTTATTCTAACATCAGTTATACATCTGTAAAACTGATTTTTAAACTTGTTCAAATTAATAATTTCCAACTGTTTGTTAAATCTCTTAAAATTGTATTAAGTCTGCTGATAACTGTTAATAGCAATGTAAATAGACTGACCTATTGAGTAATATTAAACCATTTGTTTAAATTTTTCCTCTATGAGGGATTTGAAAACTACACCAACTTTACTGTTACTTCCTTCTGAGAAAAACAAAATTTAAATAAACAATTCCCTGCTCCTTCCTCCAGTACATAAAATATATACAGGTTTTTTTAAAAAATCAAACTACTTTCTGAATTTTCAAGTCATTTTTTGAGATTGTTCCGTTGTTGAATTATGATTTTGAATTAAAAAGAAACTAGTCGCTTAATGAGTTAGCTGCTTGTCAAAGGCAGACAGAAGTTCTGTCAACCGTTTCCAGCAGGAGTCGATTTCACAGCCAACGACAATCAGCAGAAGCAAGTTTACAAATTACAGGCTGAGGACAATGGGGCAGAGATAAGCTACTCTATTAAAAGCAGGAAAACACAGAGGCCCCACTCTGCTTGCTTCGCAGGACTTCCCCATGGAAGTTCCTGCTTTGCAGCTTAGTATTCCCCTCGAAGCATGGGTGCTGTTGCTAACAACACAGCAGTGGCTGGACTTGCTACTGATGCTCTCTTAGGGCATCCTGGTTGGTTCAGTGTATATGGCAGACCCCATATATCTTTAAAAGTTATGGGACTCATAGATGTTTAAATCTGTGCCACAGAATTCCAACATGCCAGCTACTCTCTCATCAATACAAGTCAACAACAGCATGGCACTGTCTTTTTTCTCCCCAATTTGTATAGATTATAGTGTGGCCTCAGTTTTTTTTCTTGTATTCCTGCTATACCTAAATACTTTCTGGAAAACTCATACTTAATTTTAAAGGTATTTATGATCATATGCATTTGTATCTCTAGCTCTCTTGTATTGTAAAGCATTCGTATCTAGAGCTAGAGTAAATGTGAAACTGTCTGATATTTTTCACTTTGTTTTAAAACTGCATGGGTAGCAATGTCTTCAATCTTAGCTTCGTGGAAAATAGCATTTCTACATTTCCTGGATTTGATCCAACTATTGAAATTGAAAATTGAATTGAAAATTGGAGCCACACATCTTGTCAAGTCCACCAGTGCTCACAATTGGGACTAGTGGTTTACAATTACCCAGGGGAAAATCCCACTCTAAAAGAACTCAGTCTCACCCTGACCAAATAAGGCATTCATAATGCAACACTTCTGTAATACTTATATTCACACTGAAATAAAGCTTTCATTTGAGAGCCATCTTACATACACACTCATATGTTATTTGTTAATATTATTTGTATTTTTAACTGTCAAGCTAAGTAATTTAGTGCTCTTTTCTTCCCCCAGCAAAATAATACACTCACAAGACACACACATAGGCACAAATCTCACATGTAATTGAACATTTCTCTACCATTTTTGACAATGTACCAACCGTGTTTCAGCCACATGGAGTTAATGGAAGCACTGAGTTGCCAACCCAACTATTTCTAGTATTTATTGAGGGCGACACTTCCTCGGAGATGGGAAGGACTCTCAAGTCAAGGACTTGGTTCAGATCCCCGCTTCACCAGTTCATACTTCAGTTCCCTGTGCCTCAGTTTACTTATGCAAGATATGGCACCTACCTCCTGTGTTTCTTGTAAGGATAGAATCAGTTGATATATTGGAAACAATTAGAACAATATCTGGCATATAGTAATTGCTGTATTTGTATTGGTTTTTCATCTCCCCAAATTAAAAAAAATAAACAAAAACTTCTAGATTTCTTGTAAGCATAGAATCAGTTAACATACTCCAAACAATTAGAACGATGTCTGGCATATAGTAATTGCTGTGTTTGTATTGGTTTTTCATCCCCCCTCCATTAAAAAGAACAACTCACCATCTCACAATTATTCAGAATGGTTTAAAAATTAAATTTAAATCACATCCTTTGAAAATGTTTGTGTAACATATCTGTTCATGAGTATGTGACTGATGATGTCTTTCTGACATCTGTGCGTGGTTTCAATCATTCTTATTAGTTTAATAGTGCTCTGCAGTAATTTCTCGACACTTCTCAAACGTAAGTGATTCTCTGGGAATTTTCATCTAGCTTCTAACTCCCAGACAGCAGAATCATACGAATAATTTTGGGAGCCCCCAAAGCTATTCATTCTCTTGGTTTAAACTGGGCTAAAGAAACTCAGGGTCCAGTTCTGAGATGACACGATTTTCTAGAATGATTAATTAGTCCCCTTGGGTCAGAGCCATTTCACCCCACTTTAAACATTATTTCTTCTAAATGCAATGCATCACAAATCCTCCATGCTGCCTATTAGGTGGCTCAGAGAAGTGAGAGGGCAGATAATGCCCATTAGATGAAGTATAATGGTGACATTAGTCTGATAAGAATACATTGTGCTTCTAGAGTATTCAAAATGCTTAAATGGCATTACTATAATTTCGTCAGCATTTACCCTAATGGACTGAGAGAATTAAAGTGCTGCAAATATGTACATTTTGTCTAACTATCGTGTGCCTTTCAGTGTATTTCTTCATTCAGCATGGATGTGCAGGCTGAGCCTGCCCTGGCCACTTGACATACAAAGCAGGATTAGTCCAGGAGAGATAAAATACGAAGAGTCGGTGCAACATAACATGAGCGGGGCTGGAATAGAAACGCTGTCCTGGGGCTGTGGGCTGCAGGAGCTGACAGTGTGTTACTGGGGTTGGATTTGCTGGGGTGGGGGTGTGGGTGGGGGTAGCCAAGGCTGCTGAAGGCGGAATGCGCAGCTGTCCTGAGGGAGGCTGAAGAGGCTTGGCACCCTCAGGGCTCTGTGTGTTTTATTGATAGGCTCAAACCCAAGACCAGCCTAAGGAAGACAGCCCACACTAAGACTAGAGAGGCAGGATGTGGATGACCAAGGGTCATGAAAGACTGGGTTAGATCTTGAGGACAGGCAGTGTTTGCAGGATTATACACAAAGATGCAGTGTAACCCGAATGGTGTTTTAGAAAAGTGCAACGAAGATGAAAATAGCTGAAATACTGCAGCAATAGCAGCTAAATGGGTGTTAAGGAACTGGGGCACTGACTGCTTTATGCACACAAGAAGCTATGGGGCCATTAGGAGACCAGGAGAGTCTGGTCAGGCGCTGTCCTGAGTGCTTTACCTGACACACCTCACTTAAATCTTCATATCTGTATGAGCAAGAGGCTCTAAAACCCTTCTGTTTTACAGATGTGGAAACTGATGCCCAGCAGCAAGGCTGGGTGACTCAGGCAAGGTCACAGCCAGGGCGAGACGTAGACTCTGTCTGTAGCCTCTTCCCCCATGTGTCTAATGACAAACCCAGAGCTTCCAAAGAACCTAACACAACCTGCTTTAGTGGGAAGAGGATCTTTCTCTGGGAAAGTGGAGAGGACGAAGGTCATTCAAGTTCAATGGCCCGGCACATTCAAGTTCAAGTGGCTCACACCCGTAATCCCAGGGCTTTGGGAGGCCAAGAAGGGAGGATCACTTGAAGCCAGGAGTTTGAGACCAGCTTTAGGGACACCCAGTCTCTACAAAAAAAAATTTTGACATTAAAAAACAATAGCCTGAATATTCCACAGGGCCAAACACCCTGGGCTTGTCATGAAAGGCAAGGCAAAGGGTTGCTCTTGTTTACCCAACCACACTCAGGTCGGTGTGGCAAGTGCACACAATACAATCCTGTTCAGGTAATTATGAGGAACCATAGATTTGATTCTGAACTTCCTTTTTTGACTAGAACAAAGAAGAAATAAGTGTAATTGTAAGAGTTCAAGAGTTCAAAACAAACCTGTTGCTCAGTAGTGTCACTAACTTTTCTTGGCTCTAAGACCCGTGAGTAGCATGTCAACGGGCCTCCGACAGCAGATGTGGGATAATAGCACAGCGCCCCCAAACACCCCCATGGGCGATGTCAGAGCAGATTGCATGAGACACCTTGGTCTTCTTGTTTATTATATTATACTACAAACGCACACATACATATACATACATATTTTATAGTATACATATATGCATATATATGAAAGCCACAAAGACACTGATAAAGCATATCATTATGCATCATAAAAATTAGAACTTTGCCAATATTTTGAAGTCTTTAGTTTTCCCTTCCCTGATAGAGTGCCAACTTGCTAAAATTTTGTGCTTATTACTTGCTTGATTTATAAAATATTTTTATCTATTTCACAGGCATTTTTTAACAATATATTATCTACTTTTGTAAGTTTTGAACTTCATATAAATGAAATTGGTCTATTTCTACTGTTGTGTTAATTCTCTTTTCAACATTAAGATTTTCGTATTTACCTATGTTGCTGACTGTGGTAGTTCATTCATTGTCACTGCTGTATGGTATTTTGGTGTTTTAATACGGCACATTTTATTTTCCATTCTCTTGTTAATGAACAATGGCCTGTTTCTTGTGCACCAATGTAGGCAAAGAAATAAAATCGAGCATAATTTAGTTTAAAAATGCAAAATAATATGGCTCAAATGTACAGCTTTCTGATCTTCTGTATTAAAAGTATGGCTTAGAATATCTGGAGGGCTAGAATTACCCCATATCTTCCCAGAATTCCCAATGCATCTGCCTTTTAATAACAACCAGCAGAGAACTAGTGATTATATTATCTGGCAATATTAGCATGCACAAATTCTCTTTTGCTAATAAGAACTCTATTTACTTTTATGTTAGTCAAAACAGAAGGCAAGATTTATGTTTCCCTATGAAGATGAAGAAACTGACTAGAACATTGCCTAATTGGAAGGCTATTTAATGTTCCAATGGAGAACAACCACAAACAAACAAGCAAACAAAAATGGGTGGTCCTGGCCCCAACAGTCAAGCTAGGAGGTGTATCTACAATAATCTTCATATGGATATTTTTCAAAATAGGTATTGCCAGTTCTCTCCTGCTTTCCTAAAAATGAGGACAAGATCCCTGAATCATGTACCCAGAAAATGTCGAATTGTTGGCAATACACCTGCCTCACAGGGCCCTCCAAGATGAACCAGACACAACATTTATTATTTTGTTAACTACATGTGGGACTTTTTTATGGCATTGTTGAAGAAAAGTGTTGGAGGTGGTTTGCCAGAACTAATTTTGATGATGCAGAGTAAATCGTACTGAGTCACCCTTTTCATACTCACTAGATAGCAAGATATAACTTTCCATTGAGATCATTCCTAGTTAAAACTGTGTCACTGGAAATACAGGATGGGAAATGACGGAGAAAAATGAATGCTAAAAGCAGCAACATTGGAGGAGTTGTGTTGTGGAAGACATGGCCCAGGAAATGCCAGCGTAGAGAAGAAAAGGGTGGGGGTAGAGCCCACCCAGAGGAACATGGCAGAGAAAACACGGTTCTGGGAGTGATAATCATGAGTAGAAAGAACAGTTAACATAAAAGAGGTTCATTAGGAGCAACAGCTGAATAATGGAAAAGATTGTCAGTTAAGTTACAATAGGAAGTGATGAAGAAGTTAACTGAGTGTAGCAACCAACATAAAAGCCTGTGGGAATTCTGGAATGGCAGAGTTGCATAATGAGATGGAGTTTTAGGTCAGGCGAGGTGCCTCACTCCTGTAATTCCAGCACTTTGGGAGGCCGAGGCGGGTGGATCACTTGAGGTCAGGAGTTCGAGACTAGCCTGCCCAACATGGTAAAACTCTGTCTCTACTAAAAATACAAAAATTAGCTGGACATGGTGGTGCACACCTATAGTCCTAGCTACTCGGGAGGCTGAGGAAGGAGAGTGATTTGAGCCTGGGAGGTGGAGGCGGAGGCGGCAGTGAGCCAAGATCACCCAGCCTGGGTGACAGAGTGAGACTCCATCTCAAAAAAAATAATAATTTTAAAATTATTAACTATATTAATAATTATTAATCATTAATAAATAATATCAATTTAATAATGAGATGGAGTTTCAGAAAAATCTAATTTAACAATAATTTATAGAATGGAGCTAAATATACAGGAACATGAGACAAAAAAACAACTAAAAATCAATGCTGTAATTCACGCACAGGGATCAAAGGGAGAAGTGGGGAGATCGAGTTCATTACAAAGTTTCAAGAATTTTTCTTAGACTCAAGCAAAAGTGTTTTTATCAGACTGAAAAACTAAAGAATTTTCAGTTTTTAATGTTAATGAAGGACTTACTAATTTTTCTATTGATTTCTTAGAGTTGTATGATAGTTTCAGAGAAAAATAATGTTTTTTATTGTGCTTTCTACAGCAATGTTGGGATGTTTTTTGATTATCCATAAAAGTAACCAAAATTAGACATTAAAGCTCTCCAGCAGGTCTTCTGGTTCTTTTCCTAAGTGCACAGCCCTTCTTTGCTTCCAATGAAAAGTATTCCATGGTACAGTTATTTTCACATTTGGAAAGTCTTTGCTATCATCTCTTTTTTTTCTTTGTCTCCTTTTATGCCCAAGCTTTTATCATGAATTATTTTATAGAGCCAACCATACTCACCATCATCATCACCATCACTGTGACTATTTATCAGGAACCTGCACAGGGATAAGCATAGTAATAAAGGTTTTATGAAAGTTATTTTTAGTCATTTTTCTTTTCTTTTTTTAACATTTTTATTATTTTTAATTGACCTGTAATAATTGTACAGATTCATGAAGTACAGTGTGATAGCTTGATACGCATATACGATATGTAATGATCAATTCAGGGTAATTGGCATATCCATCACCTCAAACATTGATCATTTCTTTGTGTTGGGAACATTCAAAATTTACTTTTTTAGCTGTTTCAAAATATACAGGCCAGGTGCAGTGGCTCAAGCATATAATCCCAGCAATTTGGGAGGCTGAGGTGGGTGGATCACCTGAGGTCAGAAGTTCAAGACCAGCCTGGGCAACATGGTGAAACCCTGTCTCTACTAAAAATTCAAAGATTAGCCAGGTGTGGTGGTGCATGTCTGTAATCCCAGCTACTTGGGAGGCTGAGGCATGAAAATCGCTTGAACCCGGGAAGTGGAGGTTGCAGTGAGGCGAGATCGTGCCACTGCACTCCAGCCTGGGCAACAGAGCGAGACTCCATCTCAAAACCAAAAACAAACAAACAAACAAAACGATAAATTGTTGTTCATTATAGTCACCTTACAGTACTATAGAACATTGGAACTTACTCCTCCAATCTAGGTATAATTTTGTGTCCATTAACCAACCTCTCATTATCCCCCTCCCCACATTCTTCCCAGCCTCTTGGAACCACTATTCTACTCTTTACTTCTATGAGATGACTTTTCTAGCTCCCACATCTGAGTGAGAACATGCAGTATTTCTCTTTCTGTGCCTACTTTATCTTACTTCATGTCCTCCTGGCTCATCCATGTTGCTGCAAATGACAGGATTTAATTCCCATTTATGGCTGAATACGAGTCCATTGTGTAAATATGTCACATTTTCTTTATCCACCTACTTAGGCTGGTTCCATATCTTGGCTACTGTAAATAGTGCTGCAATCATCATGAAAGTGCAAATATCCCTTCCACACACTAATCATCTTTCCTTTGAATATATACTCAATAATGGAATTGCTGGATCCTCTGGTAGTTCTATTTTTAGTTTTTTTGAGGAGACTCCATACTGTTTCCCATAACGGCTGTACTAATTTACATTCTTATGCATGTATAAGAGTTCCCCTTACTCCACATTCTTGCCAACTTGCTATTAATATTTTTTGTCTTTTTGATAGTAGCCATTCTAAATGAGGTAAGACAATAGCTCATTGTGGTTTTGAATTGCATTTCTCTAATGATCAGTGATGTTGAGCATTTTTTCATGTATCTATTGGCCATTTGTATGTCTTCTTCTGGGGGATTTAGCTTATTTGCCCATTTTTTAATGGGATCATTTGTTTTTTGTCTGTTTCATCCCTTGTCAGATGAATGGTTTTCAAACACTTTCTCCCATTCCGCAGGTCGTCTCTCTATTCTGTTGACTGTTTCCTTTGCTGTGCAGACCTTTTACTGTGATATAATCCCATTTGTCTATTTTTGCTTTTGTTGTCTGTGCTTTTGAGGTCTTAGCCATAAATGTTTTGTCCAGAGCTATGTTCTTAAGCATTTCCTCTATGTTTTCTTCTAGTCATTTCAAAATTTTGGAACTTGAGTCTTTAATCCATTTTGAGTTGATTTTTACATATGGTCCCTACAATAAACTTGACGGTTGAAAAATGTTATTCCTGGTTTACTGACATAAAAATGAAAGGCCAATGGCTAAGTAACATATCCAAAGTCACACAGATGCTAAATAACAGCATAAGTTCTCAGCCCTGGCTGGCCTAACCCTAACCTCTGAACCCTCCTACCTAGATCAGCATTCAAAATTTGTTTCATCTTATAATAAGTAATTTCTTTTTATGTTTATATATTTATTTTTTAAAGATGCAGTTTTGCTCTTGTTGCCCAGGCTGGTGTACAGTGGCATGATCTTGGTTCACTGCAACCTCTGCCTCCCAGGTTCAAGTGATTCTCCTGCCTCAGCCTCTTGAGTAGCTGGGATTACAGGCATTCGCCACCGCACCTGGATAATTTTTTACATTTTTAATAGAGATGGGGTTTCACCATGTTGACCAAGCTGGTCTCAAACTCCTGACCTCAGGTGATCCACCTGCCTAGGCCTCCTAACGTGCTGGGATTACAGGTGTGAGCCACCACGCCTGGCCCTATAATCAATAATTTATTCTTCTTAATGAACTCTATATGTTTTTATCATTTAATATCTATGTTGTTACAGTCAATTGTATGCAACGCTATGTAGCCATGATGATATTTAGTTTAGTTTTAATATATCTATTTGTTGATTCCAGTTGCATATTTTCTGGTCAATCATCAAACCACTGGGTAACATAAAGAACACTGTTGGGTCACCTCAAAGATGACTTAATAGAGATGGATCTATAGTCAATCATGTGATTTGAGTGATGGCTCCTTGCTATTTAGGAATAGTGAAAACCATCTGTTTGAATTAGTAAAAGTCAGGCATTTTCTGAAAATATACAGGCATGCCATAATCTTTTAGTTTTGTGAGGCTAAAGTAAAATTTTGTAGAATTCTTACTAGTTGGTCTTTGCTGCAGTAACAGTGGAGAGTTATCAACTGTACTTATCACTTACATAACTATCTCTTCAACCTTTCCAGGGGGTCACCACCCTTCTTCTGCAAAGTGCTAGATAGTAAATATTTTTGGCTTTGTGGACCATAAAGTCTCTGTTGAAAGTACTCAACCTTGCCATTATAGCAGAAAGTTCCATGGGCAATATGTAAACCAAATGAGGCTATTTTTCAACAAAACTTTATTTCTACACACAGAAATTTGAATTTTATATAATGTTTATGCCATTAAAATAGCATCCCTCTTTTGATTTTTTTAACTCATTCTTTGATCACAGTCACACAAAAACAGGCAGCAGGCTAGAATTGTCCTAAGGCCGTTGTTTGTAGGCCCTACACTCATAGAAAGTCCATGATGTAGGAACTGTGTCTTGGCGGTGATTATATTCATGATGCTTAGTGTGCCTGCAAAAGACTGATAAATATATAATTCTTAATCAAAAGTGCAAATAGTTGCTATGGAAAATACTGTTGATCTTTGAAAAAAAACTGAAGTATTCTATTTGTCCATAAAATATGGACAAAGCTCTTTAATCATAGTCCTTGGGAATTTAGTCTCAAATTCACAGTGTGTCCCTTGTCGACTGATTCTCCAATTTAAAATACCCTCTTTTCCCAATCGTTATTGGCACAGCTTCCAACTGCTCCCTGTGGAAGCTCCCTTGGCTGAGGAGGGAGATTTGTTCTCAGTCATCTTCCTCGCCAGTCAGGCACTAATCCTCAGAGATTGTCCCCATGGCAATGCAATTTGGTACAAAGACGCGAAGACACACAATCCATTGTACTGTCCAAAGACAACCTCAATTAAACACTCCCCAACCACAGAACCCATGCAGAATTTATGGCGCTTTCACCCATGAGGATCTAGAGGGTATGGCAGATCCTCCAGGGTTGCATTAGACATTGGTTCCTAGGCTCTGCAGTACTGAGATTACAGCACAACTTTAATTCCACTTTTAGGACTGTTCAAATAGACGCAAGTCCTAAATATATATTATTCACCCCAAATACTTTCAAGGACTGACCATGTGCCAGGCATTTTGCTAGGTGTTGGGAACAGAGTGTTGAGTAAGCCAGAAAAGATGCTTGTCTGCAGGAAGTCTATACTCTGAAAATTATCTTTGTTTCTATCTCTATATACACATCTATACTTGTATGTGTGTACAGTAATCATGATGTAAAAAATACGGTATTAATTAAATTAAATAAAATAAGAATATATAGTAATAATAATACTATGTTATTTAAGAGTTGGATAGGATTAAAATTACCTGCCAGGCATAGTGGCTTATACCTGTTATCCCAGCATTTTGGGAGACTGCGGCAAATGGATCACTTGAGCCCAGGAGTTTGAGACCAGCCTGGGCAACATGGCAAAACCTGTCTCTGCAAAACAAAACAAAATGAAACAAACAAACAAAAAATAATTAGTAGGTTGGTGCAAAAGTAATTGTGGTTTTCACCATTACTTTCAATGGAGAAAACCACAATTACTTTTTAGTTGGATGTGGTGGTTTGCGACTGTGGTCTCAGCTACTCAGGAGGCTAAGGAGGAAGCATCACATAAGTCTGGGAAGTTGAGGCTGTATTGAGCTCAGATCGCACCACTGCACTCCAGCCTGGGTGACAGATGATACAGAAGCTGTATTTTAATTTTTGTTTGCAAACATTATCTCGTTAGAGTGGCTTTCATACAGAATTATTTGTCAATATTTTCAACCAAAATGGCCACTGGATTGAAGCTGCATGATCTTCCTGGATGTCGGAAAATATGTTTGATGCCATTTTAAAGATAATTCATTTTCTTGTTGCTTCTTTGGTGACTTTTTAAGGCAGAACTATTCAGTACATTAGGCAGATTTATTAAGTTTGTAATAGTGTAATAACTGCTTTACTCGGAAATTTTAAAGCACTTTATTGTCGGATCAGTCCCTTGAGAGTTACTTAGTTGTAGACTTTTCTTTCTTCTTTTATCTCCTAAGACATATCTGAGTTAATGAAACGCTCAGAAGAATAGTCAACTCTCTAGGCTATTCATTTGTTCTGCTGTTGAGCTAGCCATGGATGCTGAGTTGCTGGGGTTGTTGAGGTTCTTTTGGATGTGCCACATAACCAATGACTGTAACTGCTAGTGGACGAAGGGTTGGATTATCAATGCCACTGTTCATTGGAAATTAGAAACTCTTAAACCCTGAAAGAAGTGTATTTGGGATGATGTCTTCAACACTGTGTGTGACCATTATGCAAGTTTTTCTCCCTGTCAATCTGCCTTTGGTAATATTTCAGTGGAGATTCCGGTTGTTCTTATAAACATTAGTCATCCAGAAATTTTTAAATCATATTTTCATCATTATCGAAATGTCTTCTTCTCTCCAGGTTACATGATTTTGTTGGTGCTATGAGCCTGTGCTAATCAATGTGGCTTTTGGATTCAGTAAATGCTATGGCTAGTATTTATCCTTTTCAGTCTATTTCCTCATCAAATAATGCTTAAGGGATATGCTTTACCTACTCACCTAACTTTTTCTATCTAAAGAAGATTTTTAACCTAATTTGGATCAGACAAGTATGACCATAACTTGAAAGAACTGGGGCTTTTCCTTTCTGTAAATCCACACAGAGAATTATTATCTCCTATATCAGAAACACCGATTTTCCAAAGAACCTGAATGCATGGACAGGATACATCGAAGCAGATTCTTCCCTTTATCATTTTATCCCAGCTTTTAATTATTAAGTATATTTAAATATTGTGTTATAATTTGCTTAAGAATATTTATCTCACCATAAATTTGCATCTTTGATTGAGTGGGCTGCACAAATAGACTATAACTTTATTTTCTTCTTCTTTTTTTTTTTTTTTTTTGAGATGGAGTCTCACTGTGTTGGAGGCTGGAGTGCAGTGGTGCAATTTTGGCTCACTGCAACCTCCGCTTCCTGGGTTCAAGCAATTCTCGTGACTCAGCCTCCCGAGTAGCTGGTATTACAGGTACACGCCACCATACCCAGTTATTTTGTGTGTGTGTGTGTGTGTGTTTTTACTAGAGATGGGGTTTCACCATGTTGGCCAGGATGGTCTCGATCTTATGACCTCATGATCTGCCTGCTTTGGTCTCCCAAAGTGCTGGGATAGAGGTGTGAGCCACCGCACCCGGCCTATTTTCTTCTTTTTAAGAGTTAATTCCTCAGACAACAAAGAATCTGAAGTTTAGAGCTACACCTTAAGCATGGAATATTAAATTGTTTTAAGACACCAGCAAGTATTAAAATTCTTCAGCAATGTGATGGTAACCTAACTAGATGTAGTCATTAGGAATGATTAAATATCAAATACATTTTCCTTTTTAAAAAATCAGTTAGAAATGGGACACAGTGAGAGTGTTATCTTCAACATCAGCTAATAATGTTTAAAGGCAGTCTCATGCCTGTGATAAGTGTGTCTGTTTCATAGATGTCATTGGTGCTCTGATAAGTCTACCTCACATACTGTGTGGGTTAATATCAATATTTGTAATCCTTCTAAGAGACTATGATTTCGTAAGCAAGCAAGGCAGAGCAAAGCATACCTTTTGTGATTTGACTTTTTGTAACTTGTGAGTGATTCACAAATTCTGATCGTGTCCTTGGAACATGAAATTGCACACATATACTACTGTGTAGATACCTGAAGACACTAATTGTTCCCTAATTTGCTTATTATTTCAGCCTGGGCTCTAACTGATAGAAAACTTACGGGCCTTTGATATATGGGATCCATGTGCTTCAAAAGACAAGAAACCTACAGTCTTGTCCAGAATCCACTGCTGTGATTTAAGAATGGGATGACCAGATAGAAGTCAGCCTTCTACGAGGCTCTGAAATTGGATTACTGCCTTTCAGCAGCTTTGTTGGATGTTGATGTTGAGACATTTGGAAGGAGATCAATAATCATCAGATGTCTCAAATTCACTGAAAAAATAATTGCACAATATTTAACTAGTGTCACGGCATGACAGAATGGTCTTTCTTCAAACATAGAATAGCGTTATACTTCTATTTTTAGCTTAAGATAGTTTATAAAAAGCCTACTTCTTTCTCTCTCTCTATATATACACACATACACTATATTTATAACTCTATATGTAGCTATATATAGTTTATATATCTATACACACATGTATAGATATATATATATATAACTGTTCTCTGTTTCATACTAAATGAGACAATGATAAAAGCATGAAGCAGCCTGACTCAGAGTTGCCATGGACATTTGAGGTGATTTCACTCTGATTCAACCCATTTTCTAATAAGTAAAAATGAACTGAATCATATCAGTAGCTTTTTTGGCAGTGACTTTTATGCTAATTCAGTTTTTGGAGAATGTGTCAATTAGCATTACCAGTAGGGGTTAATATCTCTTTTTACTTCTTTGGAAGATTGCTGCCTTCCTTCTCTCCCTCCCCTCCCCTCCCCTCCCCCTTCCCCCCTCCCCTCCCCCTTCCCCTTCCCCTTCCCTTCCCTTCCTTCCTCCCTCCCTTCCTTTTTTTTAAAAAAAATTTTCACTCACTCTTATAGTAGGTGTGCCAAATGCTTTGCGAATGTGACATAAAATATCAACAAAAAATGAGATATTGAATATTTTAAAATATAAATGTAATTGTATTAAATTACAAAAGTATACCATTCATTACAGAAAAGTTTTTTCTGGGCATGGTTATGGAGGAGATTGAAGTTTGCTTTGAAACAGGGGAGCATACGTCAGTGACAGTGGTTTGCAGCGTAGCTTCACTGAGGGACAATAAAGCCAGGAAAATTCTGTTGCTGATTTTATGACCACATCCCCTTTTCATGGCCATCCCTTTTACTGATTGGGATGCCTACTAGGACTTTTGTGTTTTCTACGATAATACTGATTTTTAGTGAGTTTACACCACTTGATGAAAGAAAATTGAATGTATAGTACCTGCAATTTAAATGTTACACATTTGTAAGGCATTTCATATATAGGTAAAATTACTAATCTGAAAAAATAATTGGCCTGGTTTTTATTCAGCAAAATATATATACATGGCATTCAAGTGGCAGAAGCAGCTGGAAAATTCTGTGTTTAAACTTCTAGGGCTGCGGGAAGACCCTCTCTCTTCCATTTATAATGATCATTTATTACTCACTCAAGTCAAACAAGTATTGCTTCTCTGGCTTAAGACGTTGGTGCATGTGGGAGAGGTGAACGGTCACAGATAATTTCATTGGAATGAATTTGTCACCTGTTTGACTGGAAACAGATCTGAATATGGGAAGATGCTTTGTGCACACAGTGGACCTTGGAGGAGTAAGAAAGGGACTCGCCATTGACGGGGTGAAGTGGGGGGCAGCAGAGAGAGGGGCTGGGGTGACCAAGACTGATTGGGCAGCTAGAGAGGAGGAATGCCTCTAATCCTGCGAAGGCCTTTTGTAGCCTATATAAAATTCTGCATAAAAATAATTCTGCAGACCATCCTGGCTAACATGGTGAAACCCCAACTCTACTAAAAATACAAAAAAATTAGCCAGGCATGGTGGCAGGTGCCTGTAGTCCCTGCTACTTGGGAGGCTGAGGCAGGAGAATGATGTCAACCGGGAGGCGGAGCTTGCAGTGAGCCGAGATAAGACCGCTGCACTCCAACCTGGGCGACAGAGTGAGACTCCGTCTCAAAAAAAAAAAAAAAAAAAAGTTGCAAAATTCATACATTTTGAATGAGTTGCAAGAAAAAATGAAGTTACTCTGTTGTTTTCATCTCTTTTAAACTGTCCCAAGTCCAAGATCAGTTGATATAAACATGCTGTGGTACAACTTTCCTTGCTTTTCAGAGTGATCTCAAGCCTATGTCCTTATCGGAAACATATTTGTCTGGTCATGACTGACTGTTGGAATCTGTCTGGAAGCACACATGGGAAACACCTGGTATACCTGGTACCTGGTGTACCTTGTATTACCCTCAGGGCTACATGGATTGTGTTGAAAGCTGTCTTTTAACATGATGCCCATCTTTGGTTGTGATGACTTATTTTTTAGAAATTAGTCGGGTTAAAGTGAGCCACACTTCTCCATGGACATTCAGCATATAGGATGTCACAGCAAGGAACACAACTGCAAGTTAGGAGCTGGCATTGAGTCAGGGCACGGAGCAGAGGCTGTATCTCGAGGAAAAACAGTCGGCGTGAAGTTGTGTGAAGGGGGCATAAAAGTGACTCAGAACTCCGTCTGATCGTGGAGGACTGAGAGGGCAAAAGTTCTTGCTTGGCGGGGCGTGGTGGCTGATGCCTGTAATACCAGCACTTTGGGAGGCCAGGGTGGGTGGATCACTTGAGCTCAGAAGTTCCAGATCAGCCCTGGAAAGTTGGTGAGACCCCATCTCTACAAAAATTAGCTGGGCGTGGTGGCATGTGCCTGTAGCCCCAGCTCCTAGGGAGGCTGAGGTGGGAGTATTGCCAGAGCCCAGAAGGTCACGGCTGCAGTAAGCCAAGATGGTGCCGCTGTACTCCAGTCCGGGTGACAGAGTGAGATCCTGTCTCCAAAAAAAAAAGATTAGAAAGTTATTGCTCAAGTGATATTTCCATGAAAGTACAACTTAGTGACAAATTACCCATTATTTGAACGCTACAACTTTCACAGAACAAGTTGGACAATGTGTATAGAAGCAAGTTTCTTAACAAACAAGCTATATTACTTAGGAGTAAGGAAGGGGAATGTGGCATCTCATTTCAGACTCTTAACTTCCTCTTTTGAGTCTGACACATCTTCTATATTTTCTTAAGGCCTCCCAGAAGCAAACAGGCAAGGCTGGAAAAAGGAAGTTAAATAGTGATTTGCTCAATTTGAAAGAAACATAACTTTTTCACATGATACCAAACGTTTCCCAAATGAAACACTCCCTACCCTGCCCCAGCATGCAACTTTCCAACTAAATCTGGCCCAAGTAAGTCGTCTCATCAGCTGGATTAAATATACTTTCTTCATCTTTGGCTGGGTCTTACCAAAATGAGTGATTCAACTTCTTAGGAGAGATTGCTGCAAGGGTTACACCAACAGATAAATATGGGAATTTCTTTCACACTTGCTCGTTTCAGACCAATAGCAGAGCTAGGTAAACAGTGATCTCATCTTCAGTCACACAGTTTTGCTGACATTACAAAGAAAGGTGTCAACACAGATTTAAGGTGGCTGTCAACTTACTGAGTCCATCATTTTGGCTTTTGAGTTTTTCACCATAGAGAGCTAACTGAGAAAAACGAAAAACTTTTTTTTCTACTTTTTTTTTAAACTAGAAAAGCAATGGCTGCTCCTTAAATATATGTAAAGAATAGAAAGAAGAGAGAAAGGTACTAATGTATCCCACCACCTATATGGAAACAGTATTCATATTTCTCCTTGATTCTGAAACATTTATGATCTTTGCAGGGAAATTTTTGGTATGTTTCAGGTAACTGTAGATGAGAGCTCTTTCTTTTCAATCAGTTCTGAGAACTTGATATCTTAAGTGGTTCTTTAAGTCCAAAATATTTCAGTTGAGTTAAACTTTAACCAACCTAGGTGATTAGTGTATATGCTCTAAAACCTTGCGGAACACTTTGTATCAACAAATAACACAAACCCTGAATTCCTGGAGCATGTATTATGTTTATATTCAAACATAACCCTGAAATGTGTTCTTACTCTAAGTATCTCAGACACATTCTTCTTATTTGAAAGCTTCGTGTATTACTCAACAACCTCTAACATATCTCAGCGATGTTAAAGACACATAGAGAAGAAATGACATCATGAAGCTGATTCTGTTCTTTCAGCTTTGTGTTTAGCTAATGCTGAACAGAGCGGTGAGTCATGCAGTCCTGTGACCAGCCAGGCGCTTTTCCAATCAGAGTCTGTTAAGATCTTTGACAACAGTACCTGTAGTTGTTTGAAGAGGAGGTTTCAGTAGTGACCTGTACCCTTGGTAATAACAGGCTTTATAGGTAACAAAATGTGTTCTCTGCCTACTGAATAACAAAACACCAATCATGAGATAACGCTTAGTAAAGCTGACTCATTTCCTCCTTTACAGATGAAAGGAGTTGTCCAAGAAATGACTATCTCAGAGGGAAATTTTCCTTCAGGTCATTACGTGAGTCTCTTTAAAGCATGGCGGACTGTAGCATTAGGTTTTCAGTTATTAGGTATATTAAAAAGTAAATTTTATTATGAAATAATATCATACATTTAAAGCCCGGTCCGGTTTTATCTTGAAATATGTGATAACTCCTGGTTTCAGATGCGATTCAGAAGAAATAGGTTGACTTGTATCATCAGGTGTCCAGAAGATTAAAATTTCTGTTTTATTAAAATGTGGAATTCACGTTTGTTTTCAGCCAAGCAAGGTTTGGTGATTCTGCAGCTGTCACCCTCAGCATCTCTGTAGGACAGCCTCTTGCCCCTCTTCACCCAGGTCTGCAGGAGGGTGGCAGCGTGGCTTGGGAAGGCTGGGTGGCGGGAGCTCAGAGGGGGTGCAGTGTTCCCACCACACAGCGGCGGCTCAACTGCCCAGGCTGTGGGGTTTCCAGCTGTGTCGTGTTGACTTGAACCGACTCAGCAGGCGGTGCCCTCCTGGAGCACCTGAAGCCTCCAGAGAAATATGATGGAAAACCAAGAGGCCTCCACCTCCCTGACTTGCTGCGACCTCCTGGGCTTTGCAGCCAGGCTGCTTTCGTGGATGCAGTCCTCGAAGCTAGTTTGGAAGACATTTATTTTTAAATATACAGGAAGCCAAATACGTTGAGAGAAAAGCCGCCTAATGCATTCCTCTGTTCATCTCCAAAGTCATAGCTGGTTTTCTAGACCCGATTTTCATCAGACTTTCCAAAGACAGAAAGAGTCTCCTCTACATAGGGCTTCCTTCTTTGCCTTCATCTGTAATGCGAGCCTTGCCCTAGGTTGCCTCTCTCTCTCCTTGCTCCGCCTGCTTCGGAATTCTCCTGTCATTTCAACAGTGGTACCAAGCTTTTTGTTGTTAGGAAATCACAAATTCTGAAACACACTCAACTGAGCAGATTTAAAAATAACCTAGGCTTCTCTACTATTTGGGTAAGGCCACTTGCTTGTTTGGGGTTGCTAATGGGAATAAGAGACTATGTGTGATTACCTCTAGAGCCTGCTTGTTTGCTCTGAGGAAAGTTTTATTGAAGAGCCACAGGCTGCGTTCCAGAACACTGGCCAAACACTTTGCACATGTGTGCTGTTGGGTCCTAGCACCGTCCACTCCACTCCTGGGAAAGGAATATGCCCTGGGGACGGAGATCTCCTTGCAGAATGCCTGTGTGGGCTGCATCTAATAAGGTTTTTTAGGAGTGGTTATGGCCCCCTGTTGGGTTCCTAATAAAAGCCCGTTATCATTTTTAGCTTCTGGAAATCCACAGGTCCCTAATTTTGTAAAAGGTGCTTTCCATGCCTTGCAGTCTGTTCTCCCAGGGAAATTTAATCTGAATACTATGTTGCAGGGTGGTGGTTGGGAGGTAATTGCTAATACATTGTGGGCCCAGAATAGACTGGTCACATTGTATTTCTCCCTTTTCACCCTAACAAATCAGAAACCGGATGATACTGTTTGTATTCGGAGTCTGAGAGTCTCAGCCTCGCCTTATCCTTCACCAGCCCGGACAGCAGCTAGGACTGAAGGTGCACGTGCCCATGTTTTCCTCCCAGCCACCCGGTTCCCCGCTCTGTCCCTCACTGATCTGTGCATAAACTGGGCAGGTCTACTTAGATCTGCTTTATACAGCAGGCTTTTATATAAGCGTTCATTTGAAAACCAAGAGATGTATAAAGGCTTTTTGGCTTTGTTTTGACATAGATAGGATCTCACTCTGTCACCTAGGTTGGAGTGCAGTGGTGGAATCACGGCTTACTGCAGCATTGACCTCCCAGGCTCAAGCGATTCTCTTGTCTCAGCCTCCCAGATAGCTGGGACTAAAGGTGCACACCACCACTCCCAGCTACATTTTTTTTTTTTTTTTTTAGTAGAGACAAGTTCTCACTATGTTGCCCAGGGTGGTCTCAAACTCCTAGCCTCAAGTGATCCTCCTGCCTCAGCCACCCAAAGCATTGGGATTACAGATGCCTGGAGCATAAATGCCTGTAGATATTGAAAAGGGAAAGGAATGTGAAGGAAGTACCCCAGAGGCTTGTGCAGCCTCACCTGGGCACTCAGAAGAGGCCTCTCAGGCAGGGAATGGACAAGGTGCACGAGCCAGCTCACATCCGTGGTTCCTCCTCGGGTTCATGGGAGCTCACCCATAAGGCATAGATTGGTTCATGATGGAGATCAGGAGTATTGTCTTGGTACCAAGTACCTTGGTGTCTGGCTGCTGTTTCGTACCATGTGGCCTCCAAGGCTGGTTGGGCTCTAGGACTCAGATGATCTGTGTGGTGCTGATGCTGAGGCTTCTTTTTCTCCAGAGCCACCTACATTTAAAGTCGGAGAGGCTGATAACTACAACTGCCATTTATGACCTGCTGAGCAGTGTGCTACACAACTTCTAGCATCATTGCCTTGAGTTCTCGTAGCAACCTTCTGATAAAGAGAGTCTATTCTTTAACAGATGAGAAAAGCTATATGAGCTGGTGAACTAGGGTGATTTGACCAGATTCACACAGCCAGAGACTAGCAAGTCAGAACCCAGTCTCCTGGGTCTTAGTGTCTTAATCGGTTTGGGCTGTTATAACAAAATACCTGAGACAGGTGGCTTAAACAACAGACAGTTGTTTCTCCCACTTCTGAAACTGGAAATCTGAGAACAGGGTACCAGTGTGGTGGGTTTTGGGTGAGGACTCTGCTCCTGGCTTGGGGATGGCTGCTTTCCCACTGTGTTCTCACGGGGCGCAGAGAGAGGAAGCAAAGCCTCCTGCGGTTCCTCTAGAATCCCATCTCAAGGCTGCCATTCTCCTGACCTCATCTAAACCTTCCCCCTACCAAAGCCTGAACCTCCTAATACATCACCTCAGGAGTTAGGGCTTCGGCATATGCCTTTGGCCCACGGGGGTTGGGGACAAACATTTAGTCCATAGCACTTGGATTTGCAATCCATGCCTTAACCGTAGACATTCACAGCTTTCTCGGCATAGAAAATCTCAATATGATCTGACAAACACCATCATGAGGCCAGCATAGCTTCCCCATGCGAGAGGACGGAGGTAGGCAGGTGAGCTGTAACTGCCCAAACAAGGCCTCACCTTTTGGTTAACGTGTTGATGGTATTCACTTTCCCTCGAGCCTCACACTTGAGGTTCAAGAGCTTGTTCTCAGCCTGGTGAGGTAGCTCATGCCTGTAATCCTAGCACTTGGGGAGGTCAAGGTGGGAGGATCACTTGAGGTCAGGAGTTTGCAACCTGCCTATGGGCCACATAGCAAGACCCCGTCTCCACAAAATTAAAAATTTTAAAAAGTTAGCTAGGTACAGTGGTGCTCACCTGTGACCCCTGCTGCTGGGGAGGTTGAGGTGGGAGGATCTCTTGCCCCCAGGAGGTCAAGGCTGCAGTGAGCTATGATGGCACCACTGTACTCCAGCCTGGGTGACAGAGTGAGACTGCATCTAAAAAATAAAAAAAGTTTGTTCTCTTCCTCTCGACCTAAATACTTTCTTCTTTTCAAAAACCAAGAAGACTTTCCCCTTCGCCCTCTCAGTGATGCCCCGATATGTCCCTTCTGTTGGGTGTTCCCAGGCGCTGCGCTGCTTCTGCCCTCCCTGTCTCAGGCTGGTCTGGGCTCTGCCTCCAACCTTTCCTCCCTCCAGCCATGCTCTCCCTTCTCCGGTGCTCAAGACTTCTGCACACAATGACCCGGTCAGTCTTAAAATGCTGCTTCAAAAATGTCACTTAGCGAAAGTCTTCCCACTCATCTTAGTCTATTCCAATCTCATTGACTCTTTCACCTATCATTTTATTCAACAAATGTCTAAGAACACATTTAGGCGCCGGTGTTTCATTGCCAAGCAACATGAGCGTGTGTCTGCCTGAACACATCATTTTAGTTGAACATGCAAAGTCATTTTCAATACAAGAGCAAAATATGATCTCTCTAAGAGACAAAGAATCAGAAAGTACTTAGGCACATGCACGTTTCTGCCCTCATTCATTCTCCAACCAAACAGCAGTTAGTGAGCACCTACTGTGTGCAGAGCAATATGTTCTATGCACCAGGATTACAACATGAGTAAACAAACAAAATCTCCGCTCTCTTGAGTTTGGATTTTAGTGCGGAGCTGAAGGGAAGAAACCATTTCAGTTTAATGTATATGCGAGCTATATAGGAGATCCCTTATGTAGAGTAATTTTAAAATAAGTAACAATAACAGAGAAGTCATTTCTAGTAGCTCTTGACTAACAAGCAGTCTTTTGAAATTGTGTGTGTGTGTGAAGTCTTAAAGATTTTAGCCCCTATTTGTTTATTTATTTATTTATTTATTGCTATTTTTAGTTGTTTGAATGCAAAGCAAAGGTGTGGAGTGCATGGGAACACATTTTAGGGGTGCTGCAGCTGGAAGTCAGCCTCTGAGGGTCTCCTGCAAGGCTCATGCTTGGACGTGAGCAGTGGCCTCCGAGGGCCTGGACCTTACACAGCCTGAGTGATACCGGCCCAGCTCTTGCCAAGCTTCCTCTAGACAATACAGCCTGCTATGGACTGAATCACGTCCCCTCAAATCCAAATATTGAAGTCCTAACCCCAAATGTGACTGTATTTGGAGATAGGGCATTTAAGGAGGTCATTCAGATTAAATGATGTCATAAGGTCGGGCCCCTAATCCAATAGGACGGGTGTCCTTACAAGAACAGGAAGAAGACCAGAGATCGCTTTCTCTCCCATGCCCACAAAGGGAAGGCCATGTGAGGACACTGAGAAGGTGGCCCTTTGAACCCGAGGGGAGAGGCCTTGTCAGACATCAACCCTGCTGGCACCTCAATCTTGGACTTTCCGTCTCCAGAGCTGAGAGGAAATGCATTTTTCTTTTTGTTGAAGCACCCAGGCTGCGGTGTTCTGTTTCAGCAGCCTGAGCTGCTGAAGAAGGGGCCGTTTCAAGTACCTGATCCACCTGCCTTGGCCTCCCAAAGCGCGGAGGTTTCAGGGATGTGCCGCCATGCCCAGCCTATTTTCTTTTATTTTTTGTAGAGACAGGGACTCACTATGTTGCCCCTGCTGGTCTTGAACTTCAGGGCTCAAGCAATCTTCCCACCTTGGTCTCCCAAATTGCCAGGTGTGAGCCACCATGCCCAGCCAGGCAAGGTTCTTAATGTCTACGAGCCACAGTTTCCTTATTTGTAAATATAAGGTTGCACTTTGTTAGATTACTACGTGATCTGAAGGTATGTTTCTCTCCAAAATTCATATTTTGGAAGCTAATGCCCATGAAGATTAAGAGTGGGGTTTTTGGGAAGTGATGAAGCCGTGAAGGTGAAGTGCCCATGAATGGGGTTAGTGGCCCGACAAAAGGGCTTGAGGGAGGGTGTTTGCCTCTCCCACCACAAGAAGATACAGAGAAGGCACCATCTATGAGAAACAGGACCTGACCTGCTCAAAAATCTGCTGCCTCTTTGATCTGTCCAGCCTCCAGGACTGTGAGCAATGCATTTCTGTTGTTCATAAATTGCCTAATCGTCTGAAGTACTTTGTTATAGAAGCCCCAATAGATGAAGACACTCCAAGAATAGCCCTGCTCAACTCTCATTTGCTGTGTATTTCTTGTCTACATTGAATCTGGACTTGGCCAGTGGGACTTTGGAGCACATGATGCAAACACAGCGCAGCCAGCAGGATGCAAGCATTGTTCAAGGGAGGGAGCACAAGACCCCAGAGCTTGGCCGCTTGGGACACAGCTGTGAGCCTCCATTCTGCAAAGAAGCTTGGAGAGAAAGGCCTTGCAAAGAAGAGGAACAGCATCCGCTATGCCCGATGCACTCAGTGTGCAGGTGAGCCCTTCGTCCTGCCAGCCAGCACACTGACTGCAGCTGCAGTGTGAGCCCAGGCTTCACACACAGGTCTAAGCAGAAAACTCACAGGTGTGTGGAAAATAACCAGGCATTGTTGGTTTAAGCTGCTAACGTTGGGGCATGCCATGTTGGCCAGGCTGATCTCCAACTCCTGCCCACCCGGGCCATCCTAACTAGGCTGGCCAAAGAAGCCCACCGCCAGTCATATCATACCGCCATTCAGCGAAAGTCCCCTTCAATGCCCCTCGGTGATGTGTCTCTTCTCCAGCAACTACGACAGCCAGGCAGGGAGCTGAGCACTTCACAGACATTATCTAATTTTATTTAAAAAAAAAAAATTCTGCTGAAGGCTAAAAAAAAATCAGATAATGTCTATGAAGGATCTCACTCTGTCACCCAGGCTGGGGTGCAGTGGTGTGATTCTAGCTCACTGCAGCCTCAACTTTCCTGGCTCAGGGGATCCTCCCACCTCAGCCTCTCCAGTAGCTGGGACTACAGGCATTCGCCACCACCTTCTGCTAATTTATTATTATTATTATTATTATTATTATTGTTAGTATAGATGGAGTCTTGCTATTTTACTCAGACTAGTCTCAAACTCCTGGGCTCAAGAGATCCACCCACCTTGGCCTCCCAGAATGCTAGGATTACAGGTGTGGGCCACCACCACACCTGGTCTGACATTATTTAATTTAATCCTTCTGCTAAAGTAAGAGTTATCCTCATTTTCACTCAATCCCATTATCTCATTTGTTTTTCCTAATTTAACCCAATTTTCACACTAAGGTCAATATTATCCGTCTCATTTTACCGAAGCTCCAAGAGGCTTAGAAGCCCATTTAGTGCTCTATTAAACATAGCAGAGCCTGGATTTGAACTCAGTTTTGTTGAATGCCAAAAGTATTTGGGCTGTAAAGTTGCAGAGATGAAGACAGCCTTTAAAGCAACTCCTAGTCTTATTCCTCCTGTTCTTTAAGACGTTTCAAAACATCTTATAGTTCAGAGAGCAAGAACAAAACTTCCTTCACAAAATTCTCACCAATTTTGCCAAGAATTTATAGTAGAAATAATACTGAATTCATTAAAAATAATTGCACGTATTGGAGTGTTTTTAAGGCACTAAAATGCATACATTTGTATTTGGCCTTTCCAGAAGCTACTTAAGATAAATACCTGCTTTTATGTTTTTCAAAAGTTAATATATATACATTTATACAAATGAATATATTTATACATATATAATAAATATATATAATTTAAACATTATAACAAATACATGTAAATATATTCATTATAATATAAATATGTTTATATATTATATATTTATATATTATAATATATAAAAATACCTATATATTATAATATATATAAATACCTATATATTTATATATGTATAACTATATGGTTTATATAAATATGTAAAATATATAAAAATAGGCCGGGCGCGGTGGCTCACGCCTGTAATTCCAGCACTTTGGGAGGCCAACGTGGGCGGATCACAAGGTCAGCAGATCAAGATCATCTTGACTAACACGGTGAAACCCCGTCTCTACTAAAAATACAAAAAATTAGCCAGGCGTGGTGGCGGGTGCCTGTAGTCCCAGCTACTCGGGAGGTTGAGGCAGGAGAATGGCGTGAACCTGGGAGGCGGAGCTTGCAGTGAGTGGAGATTGCGCCACTGCACTCCAGCCTGGACGACAGAGCGAGACTCCATCTCAATATATATATATATATTTAATTTTATATAAATACATAAAATTTATTATATATACTTTTTATATCTGTAAAAATATATGTAAATGTATGTACAGATACATATATATTTCTGGCTCTCTTGCTCTTAGGTTAAGAAGCATTTCCAAATGGTCATTAGAAATGATTGTTTTCCTGTGTTGAGGTTTCACTGAGTGCAGAGAAGAGGAAAGACATGTTAAGCCGATAACACATCACTATGCTTGTCACATTACACACAGATAAGAGCAAAGTTTTATACATTAATTCAAGTGGCTATTTTTCACAATTTTCCACTGCTGTATGTCATGGTAAAACAAACTATTTAGGTTAAAATCTTGTTTTGATCCTAGCTGTCTGAACTCTGTCCTACCACTTCATTTCCATGGGCAAATAAGAACCACAGAGTATTTTCTGCTTTCATTGGAGGACTCAAAACTGTCATCCAAAAAATTAGTAATACAGTAAATAATACAATACCAGTTACAATGGATTGAAGTCATGGCATAGTTCATTCTGCCAAAGGTTAAATTTATATTATAGGTCGCATGATATCTTTTGCCTAAATCTTCGAACACGTTGAGAAGATTCCAGAATATTTGACTCGTAGGTCAAGGGTGGGTCCCTTGCTCAAAACAGTTTGGAGACTCCTTTTGGGTGCCCCTCAGAGTCCTCCCAGCCTGTGGGTCTGTGCTATGATCACCTCCGTCTGAGGCACTCTCTTTGGCTCATTCGTACTGGGAGCTGGTGATTAATCTGGGGAATGTTGATTCTGATAAAAACAACAACATAGAAGTGTGATTCTAAAGTCATGCGCCTGACTATCTTGTGTAATGAATTCAATCTGAAAACATTTCCAAAAGAGGAATTTCCTGATTCCTTTTCAGTACATTTTTTAATTTTTAAACTGTGTGACTGTATTACTCAGCCAGTTAAAAAATTAACGTAAAACCAAAACAAGTACATTTTTTGGATTATATATAAATCTCTCTCTCTCTCTCTCTCTCTCACACACACACACACACACACACACACACACAGATGACTTTACATGATTGCAGGGGAAATACAATGCATAATGTCTAGTATGCTTATTATTATTTTTATTATTTGAGACTGGGTCTCGCTCTGTTACTCAGGCTGGAGTGCAGTGGCACAATCTCGGCTCACTGCCACCTCCTCCTCCCGGGTTCAAGCGATTCTCCTCCCTCAGCTTCCTGAGTAGCTGGGATTACAGGCGCGTATCACCACGCCTGGCTAATTTCTGTATTTTTGGTAGAGACGGTGTTTCACTATGTTGGCCAGGCTGGTCTCGAACTCCTGACCTCAGGTGATCCACCCGCCTCGGCCTCCCAAAGTGCTCGGATTACAGGTGTGAGCCCCCGCGCCCAGCCCTTGTTATTATTTTTGACAACACTCTGCGACTTCGTTGTCCCTGGCCTGGCAACCCATTCAGGATATGCCCATCTCTGCTGGTGAACATGAACTCTCACTGCATGGAAACTGGACTGAGTCCCCGCTGTCCTGAGCACTTTGCACCACAGTGCGAGTCAGCGATCACACTCTGTTCCTGACAGTTGTGTCTCCGTCGTCACCGTCGTCACAGGCGTCCGGGCCCTTACAACGAGTCCAGCGGTTTCTTCCTGCTGCCTCAGCTGATCTCCCCCACTGGCCACATTCCATCTGGGCATGGTGACAGCATGTCCCCTGGGGCCAATGCGACCACAGCCTCATGAGCTGCCCTCAGCGCTCCTGGGGGTTCCTGCTGCGGCATTCTTCTGTCACCATTATCCGCATCATTTCCAGTAGAGGATTTCCAGTGTTTTCCTTGCTCTTTCCACAATATCTCACTCAACACTGCTGGCCATTGGAGGCTGCTGTCTGCCTTGCTCATAGGAGAACCCCAGGAGTAATTCTGCACCCTTTTGTCACTTCTGAGGGGCATCAGCAAATGGCCATCAGGTGACCCTAACTTCAAGGGCCCAGAGTCCCTCCAGCCTGGCAGGTTGTACGCAGGCAGCTCTGGTGCTAGCATCCCTGGATATCACTCATTGCCACCTCAAGGGACTGGGTCTTTATTTTTTTACTTTTTAAAAAATACAATGTTAATACAATTTGTCACTATTCTCTAAGGAGCACTTATTACATTGGGATTTTAGTATGTTTTACAAATTTATTTGTTACAATGGCATGCAATACCTTGGTTTTAAAACCTTATTTCCTAGGTCTTTTGAGAGCCAGCTATAACCTGAGATTATTTTCATAATGGACTCCTTCTATAATGTACTTCTTAAAAGCTCAATGGTACTTATCACTTCATTTTGCACATCGAATGACATTTTAGCTCAGTATTAATAACCCAACATTATAATAAAAATAATAATAGTAAGGATTTAAAAATCCATTACAAATCTCCTTAAACCCAGGTGAACTCATTAACTCTTAGATAAAAGAAATTGAAATAAAAAAACCCAGAAGTACTTTATTTTGTTTTACCTAATATAATGATTTTGAAAGAGTGAGAAGTAGAAGACAGTTCTCTCTACTTCAGATCTCATGTTCTGCCCTGGCACTGTGGCTCATGCTTGTAATCCCAGCACTTTGGGAGGCCGAGGTGGGTGGATCCCTAGAGGTCAGGAGTTCGAGACCAGCCTGGTCAACATGGTGAAATCTTGTCTCTACAAAAAGAAAAAAAGTGGTTGAGTGTGGTGGCACACACTTGTAATCTGTGCTACTTGGGAGGCTGAGGCACAAGAATCACTTGAACTTGGGAGGTTCGAGGCTGCAGTGAGCCAAGATTGTGCCACTGTACTCCAGCCTGGGTGACAGAGCAAGATCCTGTCTCGGAAAAAAACAAAACAAAACAAAACAAAACAAAAGTAGTGTTCAGTTTGCTAGACTTGCCAGTTAAAATAGGCTGTTAGATTGAAAAACAAAAGCAAACAAGCACTCCTACTATCTTGCTGAGTTATTTTATTTTATTTTATTTTATTTTTGAGACGGAGTTTCGCTCTTTCGCCCAGGCTGGAGTGCAGTGGCATGATCTCATCTCACTGCAAACTCCACGTTCTGGTTTCAAGCGATTCTCCTACCTCAGCCTTTTGAGTAGCTGGGATTACAGGCTCCCACCACCATGCTTGGCTAATTTTTGTATTTTTAGTAGAGACAGAGTTTCACCATGTTGGTCAGGCTGGTCTTGAACTCCCGACCTCCAGTGATCCGCCCGCCTTGGCTTCCCAAAGTGCTGGGATTACATGTGTGAGCCACTGCGCCCACCTGCTGAGTCATTTTATAAATGAGAAGGTAAAGCCTGTGATTTCTGCCTTTGTCATCTTGAAGGAGGTGGAATGAAGAGAAACAAGAAAATGGGATCATCAAGTCAAAATCATGCAAACAAAATCACACACACACGAGTTGGGCTTTTCAAACAATTACAGCCTGTTAAAATCCATGTAAATGTAGGCAGGCTGGGCATGGTGGCTCACACCTGTAACCCCAGCATTTTGGAAGGCCAAAGTGGGGGAATCCCTTGAGCCTAGGGGTTCTGAAAACAGAGCCAGAACGTGTCTCTGCAAATAAATTTGAAAATTAGCCAGATATGGTGGCATGCACCTGTGGTCCCCACTCCTCAGAAGGCTGAGACAGGAGGTTCCTTTTACCTAAGGATGTTGAGGCTGCAGTGAGCTATGATTGCCACTGCACTCCAGCCTGGGTGAGAGAGTGAGATCCTGTCTCAAAAAATAAAATAAAAATAAAAATAAATAAAATGTTGGCATATTGGTCAGTGAGGCCTTTGTAAGTGCAAGTGGAGCCATTTGCAGGATTTGGGGGCATCCTCTAGGCACACAGACGTCATTAGGTGTTATGGGTTGAATTGGGTCAAATTCATATGTTGATGCCCTAAACCTCAGTACCTAAGGATGAGACCTCATTTGGAGACTGGGTCTTTACAGATGTGATTGATGTAGGATGAGGTCCTCCAGTGCCCCAATGCAGCATGACTGATAGCCCTATGGAAATGGCGATTAGGACACAGGCACACGCCCAGGTGAACATGAAGACAGAGATCGGGATGATGTTTCTACACACCAAGGAAGGAAAACTGAGGACCAGCAACCGCCAGAAGTGAAGAGAGGCCTGGAACAGGTTCTTCCTCATGGCCTCAGGAGGAAACAACCCGACGACAACTTTGTCTGGGACTTCCAGCCTCCAGAACTTGAGACAGTCCATTTCTGTTATTGTGACACCCTGTCTGTGGCACTTTGTTATGGCAGCGTAGGAAATGAATCCACTAGCCATACAGTGACTCCAAACCACTAAGAAACAACCCAGTCCCCGCAAGAACTTCCAGGGACATGTATAGTGTGTGATGCCCATGATGTCTGCAGTGATAACAGAAGGCAAATCGTCAGCGGAAGGCCACAGGAATAACTCAAACAGTAAGTCATCTCAGGATGCAGATCACAGGGGACAAATAGAGAATAAGCCCTCCCAGAAGAGTCCCACAGGCTGAATGGGTGTGTGGGGGGCAGGGAAGGACAGCCCCATAAAATGGTATTGGAGATGGAAGTGGAGCAAGACCACACCTCTGAGTTGGCAAAGCCCATGGTTCTCACAGGCAAGAGAAAGAGACTTGGGCTTCAGGGAAACATAAGCCCAGGGATAGCAGCAGACACACCTGGGGAGGTGAAGTGCATATATATATACATATATATATGGTGGTGCATGCCTGTAATCCCAGCTACTCGGGAGGCTGAGAAAGGAGAATTGATTGAACCTGGGAGGCGGAGACTGTAGTGAGCCGAGATCGTGCCACTGCACTCCAGCCTGGGTGACAGAGCGAGACTTCATCTAAAAAAAAAAAAAAAAAAAAAATTCCAGGAGGATGTACATCTACTACTCTACTATATATCCTACTTGAAATAACAGAAAAGCAAAATGCAAAATTTTATTTTGTGACCTCCATAGAACTCTAAAAGGAGTATAAAAATGTATAAGCAGCTTGTATAAAATACTCATGATCATGGGAAACTGCTTCTTGCATAGTTGTGACTTCAGTATTTCAAATTATTAAAGAATATTCAATTTTATTCATAAAGATGAAAACAGTTTATTACCATTTATAGAATTTAACACACATATTTTCAACATTCAATCACAAGTAGTGTAAGTCAATTGTATTTAATAGCTAATTGACTTAGATTTCCTTTAAATATAGCTTTTACCTCCTTTTGAGAGCTTTCCTTGTTAACTAATTTTCTGTCGGTAGGCATAACCACTTGCTCATGTATGCTACAGCATATTAGAGTCAATATCATTCTTTCAACCATTCATTCAAGTCTAATTTTACTGTGCAGAGCATAGCATTACCGTAAGCTTATTTTCCACAGAGGAAATTCCCAATATGTAACTTAAAATATAAAAGTTGGTGTGATGAGGCCATAGTGTACAACCACAGTGGAAATTTGACTCATCCTGAGACTTTTTGAAGTTGCAATGTGCAACTAGAAATAATTAATGATCTCTAATACTTCTCACGGTTTCTATTTGGATGTTCTACAATTGTGAAGGATACTATGAATAATTCACCATTCCTTTAACCTCTTGGTCTGCTGTAACCAAATGATTCCTGGGATGGCAGTTTTGCTGGTCTACAGAATAATTATGAAATAATAATATTTCACCCATCTCTCTCTCTCTGTACCAAAAAAGAATATAAGAGCTTTATCTAGGTTGTGTGCTTATAAGGATACCAGTTTTTTACTTTCACATATTGAATTAACAATTACCAGTGAGTAGTTCTAATATGTTATTATAGTAGTGAAAATATAGATAGAGAACTCTATGTTAAATTTAAAAATGATCATTTCAGTGATTAGCTAGAGATCTGATAAAGTGGATCTTTAAGTTAATAAACCTGATATACTACAAGCCGTATGAGACATCCTGCTTAGCAGACTCTGGCAAACTGTTACTGGTTTAACATTGTTTTCTCCCAGGACATTCACCTTTTTGGTAATTTACACTTAAGCTATTCCCACTTGTCTGCAGTTCAGCAGAAACATACGTCTTGGCACAAATGAAAGAGTGACACCATCTCTCACAAGGACCACACTGTTGCTCATCATGTTTCCCAGAAATATGTGACATATGTTGGAGACCAAATAGAAGCAGTTCCTCAACACTTGTTTCAGGTTGTCAGAGAACTCGACCAGCAGCAAAGACAGCAAGTATTCCAGACCACCATGCAAATAATGTTCTGAAAAGAAGTCGTATTAGTCTGGTTCAAGAACAGTTTTAGCTGGTTATAGCTAACTGCCACTTCACACTTGGTGATCACTGCATAGACATATCTGAAAGGTGGAAGCACTGCTGTAGTAGCCCTTAAATACAGTTATTTTATGGGTTTTGTTGTTTTTGTTTTTGAGACAGGGTCTCACTTTGTCTCCCAGGCTGGATTGCAGCTGTGTGATCTGGGCTCACTGCAGCCTCCACCTCCCCAGCTCAAGTGATCCTCCTGCCTTAGTCCCAAGCAGCTGGGATTACAGGCTCGTGCCGCCACACCTGGCTAATTTTTGTGTTTTTTACAGAGATATGGTTTTGCCATGTTGCCCAGGCTAGTTTTGAACTCCTGAGCTCAAGTGATCCACCCGCCTCAGCCTCCTAAAGTCCTAGGATTGCAGGCATGAGCTATCACGCCAGGCCGTTTTATGTTTTATTTTTGTAAAATATTCTTGTTGTAAATTGGTGACATAATTAGTCTTAGTCCATCTAAATGCTAAGTGTCAGTTTCAACTCTAATCTAAATGATGGTCTGCAGCAGAGGTTTCCAAATATTTTGAGGATACACACCTCATCAGTAAAAAGGTTTTGATCATGAACATATAAAGACATTAACATTTGCTGATGTGTAAGACCAGCCCCTTCCTGCTGGGTGGCTTCCATGAGCAATTAGACAGTGATAGGAACAAACAATATAGAGACAGGTAAGTCTTCTGTTATATTTTGAGCATTATAAAGGATACACAGAAACATACACGTAATAAATGAATCAGATAAAAATAAATGTGCATAGAAGCTCTAATGTTCTTTTACTTGTATTGCAATATATCATTCTGTACAGAACCTTGGGTGTGTGCACCTCACCTGTGGGACCCCTGAGCCCATCTGTGAGACCTGAGGTGCTGTCACAAGTGCTCAGGGAAGGAGTGAAGTTGTTTTTCCACTGTGATGACTCTGGCTACATGAGAACGTTTTCTTTATGACTGAAGTAGAGTCACATTGGATAGCAGTAACTTTGATATCTTCATCAGAATGAGTCATTTTAATGTGTATTGCCTTGTAATCATAAAAGTTGAAGTATTACTTTTTTTTTTTAACTAGAGCACAGTTACAAGTAGATGTTTGCCATCATCATAACAAGAGGAAGTCATGGATTTTATTTTAAGGCACATAAACTGAGATCATGGGCACATGATCAAGTATCAATCTTCTATGTTGGGAGAAGACAGGGCCTAAGGTTTATGCATTACATAACATGTGCCAGGCACAATTCTAGATGGTTTGGATATGTTAAAAGAAATCATGGCTCTAAATTCCGGTACACAATGTTTAGTAGATAATAAATGCTATTATGTTTCTGATTTCATCATCAAAATTATCCAGACAGCTAGGTATGACTACACTAGTCATCCAAAATCACCTGAAAATCAGAGAGCTTCAGTGACTTTGGGTGTGGTCACTTCTTAGTAAGAGGCAGAATAGACACTTCTGATTCCATCGCTCATGTTCAGGGTTTTAATTTTTTTTCTTTTTTTGCTCCTTTCACTGTATAATTGCTCATGTGAGATGTTCCAGAGTGAATAGGCTGCCCTTTGGATATTGTCACATATAAAGACAATAAGAGTAAATAGTTGCTTATTTGAAGACATCCATAGAATGGCTCATGTGTCTTGTTTTTTGCTTTTGTTTGTTTATTTGTTTGTAGACACAGAGTCTCACTGTCACCCAGGCTGGAATGCAGTGGTGCGATCATGATTCACTGCAGTCTTGAACACCTGGGCCCAAGCTATCATCTCGCCTCAGCCACTTGAGTAGCTGGGACTACAGGTGCACACACGCCACTGAGCCTAGCTAATTTTCAACTTTTTTTTTTTTTTTTTCAGACAGAGTCTAAATCTGTCGTCCAGGCTGGAGTGCAAAGGCACACTCAGCTCAGTGCAACATCCGCCTACTCGTTTCAAATGATTATCTTTCCTCAGCCTCCTGAGTAGCTGGGATTACAGGCACCCACCATCACACCTGGCTAATTTTTGTATTTTTAGTAGAGATGGGGTTTCACCGTGTTGGCCAGGCTGCTCTTGAACTCCTGACCTCAAATGATTCGGCCCACCTTGGCCTCCAAAAGTGCTGGGATTACAGGTGTGAGACACCACGCCTGGTCAATTTTAAACTTTTTTGTAGAGACAGGGTCTTGCTCTGTTGCCCAGGCTGGTCTCAAACTTCTGGCTTCAAGGGATCCCTCCACCTTAGCCTCCCATTCTGCCACATTCTATTTCTGTAGAAGCAAGTTACAAAGTCCAGCTGACACGCAGAGGAGCAGAATTGAACCTCACCTTTTCAAAGAAGGATTGTCAAAGGATTTGTAGATATATTTTCAAGACACCACACAATGCATTTGATGAGATTCTGATTATAGACCCTTTGGCATATTTTATGTGGACTGTAAGGAACTGGGAAGGATCTAATATTTTACCCTATTTGTAAGGTTTCAAGTTAGCCTGTCCTAGTTTTGTGAATGCTGACAGAAGATATGAGTACTCTGGGTCAAAGACCAAAAGGACTTTATGACTCAAGCAATAGCAGTAGGCAGAGTATCAGCAATTTTGGTTCTCCTACTCCCCACCCCCAGAGGGTGACTGAAGGAGGGTCAGGTGACATTTGCACATGCAGTGGATTGCATTTCAGGAGGTGAACCTAAACTTGGAGGATGGGAAGCTGCCTTTCACAAGAAGCAGTAGGCATACCTGCCCTTTGCTTTGAAGGACACACAGTCTCTGTCTTCCAAAGCTGTTCACTATTTAACTATCTTTCACAAGATACTCCAGGACAAAGACTCTCACGGCCTCTACTCAGAAGATGTGCAGACATGTGAGGGTCATGGAGAATTCTCTTCCGAGTTTATGATAAAGGTGGTTGCATTAGTCAGGGTTCCCAGAGAAACAAACCAATAGGAGATAGATAGGTGGATATTTTAAGGAATTTGCTCATGGGACAGTGGAGGCTTGGTGAGTCCAAAATCTGATGGGGGTGGTAAGCAGTCTGGAGACTCAGGAAAAAGCTGCAGTTTGAGTCTGAAGACAGTTTCGTGCAGAGCCAGAAAGGGCTGATGTTGCAGATGAAGTCTGAAGGCTGTTTGCTGCTGAATTCTCTCTCGCTTGCAGGGAGGTCAGCTTTTTGTGCTCTTCAGGCCTTCGGCAGATCGGATGGGGCTCACCCATATCAGGGAAATCTCACCCAAAAATATCCTCACAGAAATATCCAGAATAAAGATTGACCACATATCTGGGCACCATGGCCCAACCAAGCTGACACATAAAATTAACCGTCACACTAGTGGTATGATTGCTTTATTTAGTTGCAAGAGTTGAAAATAAAAAAAAAAATTAAAAAGGCATTTGGCTGAGGGGCACGGAAGGGCAGCCTATATTTATTGTGAAGTAATGTGTTCAACTGTGAGGGTTCATGTCTGAAGATAGTTCTAAATAAAAAAAGATGATTTTTCTTAATTCCCATTGCCCCATTTCAGATTCCCATTTGATAATTTAAACAAATGCATACTAGCAGCCAGATGCGGTGGCTCGTGCCTGTAATCCCAGCACTTTGGGAAGCTGAGGCAGGTGGATCATCTGAGATCAGGAGTTTGAAAGCAGCCTGGCCAACACGGTAAAACCCCATCTCTAGTAAAAATACAAAAATTAGCCAGGCATAATGGCAGGCACCTGTGATCCCAGCTACTTGGAAGGCTGAGACAGGAGAATCACTTGAACCTGGGAGACGGAGTTTGCGGTGAGCTGAGATTGCACCACTGCACTCCGGCCTGGGTGACAGAGTGAGACTCCATCTCAAAAAAAAAAGAAAACAAAAATGCATACTGGCATGGTCCACCCTAGTCAAACAGATTCAAAGAACTACAGACTTGGAGGAGACCCCAGAGATAATATAATTCATCAACATCATGCTACAACTTTCTGAATATCATGCAAATAGTTACCTGTAGAGCTGGGACTTAAAACCCAGGGCTCATACTCTACTCTGTCCAAGAGCATTAGAACTGTGGCTCACGGAACCCTGGGTTCAACAGAGGTTCCTTGGGAGCCTCCAGGAGGATGGGCATGGGCAGGGCCCCAAATTGGTATTCACTAGAGGGGCTTCATTTCAGTGTGAATTTTATATTGGAATACTGTGTAAGGTCCCATTTGAAAAGGGCTTATTTTGCCAAAGCAAGCTTGCAAATGACTCTCGTTTGCGATGGATATTTTTGTTGCTAGTGTTGGAAGTTAATACGTTCAAATTACATTTGAGAACCGAAGTTCAAAAAATAACCTTCCTTTAGAATTTTTTTGAATTTTAATAATTTGATCCAATTTGAGTTTATAAACTCAAGGAAAATATTAACTCATCAATTTAGTAGTGTGTAAATTATTCTATTCCATATTTATTTTATTCTTAAAAATCATGACCATAAATTTAATAGGATAATTCAAACTTTTTTTTAGTAAAAAGCAGTATATATTCATGAAGGAATATTTGAAAATACAGAATAACAGAAAAAAATGTAAAATATACCTACTACCTAAACATACCTTTATCAGTATTTTTATGTATCACCTTTCAGCATTTTTTTTCTAGGCAGATGTCTCTTTCTCTACGTAGTTGTCAATAAACTGTGTACTTATGCACAATTTCATGTGACCATTTGTGCTTATCATATACTCAAGGCCTTCTCTATGTCATGGAACGACCTTGGAAATATAATATTGAATGACTATGTAAGCTTCCACAAAGTGGTTATACCAGTTTTTAACTAACAACCTCTTTTCTGTTTTTGATTTTATTTTACTGCTAAAAATTCAAGCTGGAATAGTACTGCTGGGAACCAAGTTGTTTCCCCAACGCCTGCCAAAGTCCTCTATTGAATCCCTAACCCCTGGTGCTGTTGTATTTGGGGTAAGAAAGTAATTAAGGTAGAATGAGGTCATAATGGCAGGGCCCTGATGCAATAGGATTAGTGTTCTTATAAGAAGAGACTCCAGAGAGTGAACTTCCCTCCGCTCCTCTCTCTCTCTCTGTCTCCCACCAAACCCACCTGTCATACAGCAGCAAGAAGGCTGCGTCTACCAGCCAGGAAGAGAACCCTTGCCAGAAAGTGAACGGTTGGCACCTTGAGCTTGGACTAGCCACCTCCAGACTGTACCATGGACTTTGCTATTGTTAGTGCAGAGCTACCAGCTCTGCATGTGACTATCTGAATGATGTACAGTCTGTAGTATTTGCCATGGTAGTCCGAGCCACCTAAGACAATCTCACTGTGCATAAAGATCTTCTCCTTCGTCCCCCATTCCTCTCTCTCCTCTGATCACACGTGTGCTTCCTTGTCCCCACAGGCTTCACTTAAAAACCCAAGTTCCATGAGAAAATAATTTGGGAATTCAATACGGAGATGGCAAAGCATAAAGTCCAGCATGGGGACCCCTGAGCGTGGGCTCCTGCGACCTCAGAGGCCACTCCCCTGGGAAGCCACCCCGGTTCTGGACGGCTTCTGGGTTCCTTTCTGAGCCGAGCACCGTAGCCTTGCTCAGCCTTGGCGCCTGCCAACAAGTGCTCTGAGCAACTGATAGATGTTCAATAAATGTCCCCTGCGGTTAAATGTGCCTTGATATGTCATTGAGAGACCCTTAGCTCTACGTTGAAGGGAGTCCAAAAGTCCTCTGGTTAGGAATGCTTTCTTAGTGGTTCTTTTATCATTGACTATTTATTGAAAAGTAACCAGAGAATTGCAGAAATAGAAAGCTGAAAGGGATTTCCTCCCCAGAAGTTTTCAAGGTTGTTCTTGACTGTTGTAAACAAGGAAGCCAATACTTTAAAGAAGGCATTTGAAGAAGTTTAGGTGAGGTGAGCAGAGCTGTTCTCATGAGGGAAAGAGGCAGCCTCTCTGGAGCCACTCCCCAGAGGTCCCCCACGCCTGAAAAGGAATTTGAAGACTAAGGATCTAGTCTAAACTCCTCATTCGAAATGCTTATTTATTACCCTCTTAGGGGATCTTAAAAAATGACAGAATTCCAAATTTAAACAGAAAAAAGCACTATTCTAGAGTTTTTAAAACGCCAGGATACATAGTCCTATACTAACATGAAATATTTACTTACCAAAATCTTTTAAGAATCTGGGAACCAACAGTTTAGGAGAAGCATGGCTCTCGGCTCGGCTACAAAAGGACTGCTCTGTCCATCTCTGTGTGACTTGATTGATGGCCGGAGACATGAGAGAGGAGGAGGAGGGGGTGGCTCTGGAGAGCGCAGGTGAGGTCGGCCTTGCGCCTCTCTCCTGTGCTGCGGGCCCCAATCTGCATCCCTCCCTTCCTCTGAGTTGCTTTACTTGGTGTACAACCGTCACCTTTTCTTGCCTTTTCAAATGAGATGAGATCAGTTTCCACATAACTGAGCCAGCTCATGTAATTATTGCCAGGCACTTGACATTATATTGCATTCTGTTGTCTTTTTGTGTGTTCGTTTGTTTTATCATATTCGATTCCTTTAATAGCTTCATCCCTTCATCCCACACATGGCTCTCTCCTAGGTGCACAGCGGTCTCCTCAATATCAGGAGATGCAAAGGGAAGACATAGTTGTTTCCTTCCAGCAGGACACAATGAAGCCAGAAGATTGAAATTACAACTCAATAAATGTTTGTGTGTCTTTTAATAATGATTTCAAAGGGTTGCAATGTTGAAAACAACAAAACAAACAAACAAACAAAAACAACTAACCTCCTTTTAATAGCCCATTTAAAATTGTTTGGTAAATATTATGGATGGATCTTTTAAAAAAATTACTTTATAACTTCAAAACATAAGTGAGTTAAACATATGCTTTCTGAAATTTTTTTCATGTTAACATTTTTAGAAAAGGTAAGTTGGCCTTTAAAATGCTATCATAGTGAAGTTGCGTCATTTGAAACAATGTTCAATAAATGTTTTTGTTAATTATAAATAGGTTATGATTTGGACAGTTAAGAAGAAGACAGAAACTAACAGAAGATAGTAGAAGACACAATGGAGATTTTGAAAACTTAGCTTAAAAGTTTTATCATGAGATTAATAAAATATGTCACAATGCTTTTTTTCTTACAAGAAAATATACAATTTTTCTCCCCGCAGGTCCTCATTCTTTATTCTTTTTCTTAGAATTCATATGCTAAGTTTACTAGGTTCCTCTTTTCAGTATCTTTATTTACAACACTGTCACTGTTTCCATAGATACACTGAAGGTCGGTTTCCATAGCAACACTCTTGGTCTCCTAAACAAATAGTATCATAGTGTGAATCTTGTTTCAGTGTTATTGCACCATGTTATTAGATACAGAATTCAAAAAAATAACTTAAGCAGGGTTTGAAACAAGGTGGGTTGGTTTTATTGCTTGGTGCTTTAGATATTACATTTCAATTTCATATTAAATATATATCCATCTGAAAAATAGCGAGGCTTTTGCATAGTAAACATGATACCAATTTTATTCACAAGTTATAAAACACTGTAATTTAATAAGAGGATATTCCAATACATGAGACAGACGCAGGCAGAGGCTCACTGTCTTCAGATTCAAATGACTACTTTTCCGTTGGCTGGATGATTTAGCCTCCCCAAACCTCCACAGTCGTTTATAACCTACCCACGGTGATCATTACCTTTGCCATTTTTGCATTTTAAGTCATTTCTACCAGTCTTGTCTTTTATTTCATAGCCCCAAAGGAACAGCTCTGAAATAGATTTCAAGGAATCTTTACTACTTCCTATTTTGCTCCAACTGAAACAAAAGAGAAAAGTAACTTTATTAGATTTTTGTTTTTTGCCTTTAAATTTGTTTATCATTATCTTTATTTTTATTTTATTTTATTTTTTGAGACAGAGTTTCCTTCTTGTTGCCCAGGCTGGAGTGCAGTGGCATGATCTTGGCTCACTGTAACCTCTGCTTCCTGGGTTCAAGTGATGCTCCTGCCTCAGTCTCAGAGTAGCTGGGATTACAGGCATGCACCACCACGCTGGCTAATTTTTTTTTTTTGCTTTTGAGACAGAGTTTCACTCTTGTTGCCCAGGCTAGAGTGCAATGGCACGATGTTGGCTCACTGCAACCTCCACCTTCCTGGTTCAAGTGATTCTCCTGACTCACCCTCCAGAATATCTGGGATAACAGGCATGCACTGCCATGCCCGGCTAATTTCTGTATTTTTAGTAGAGACAGGGTTTCTCTATGTTGGTGAGGCTGGTCTTGAACTCCTGACCTCAAGTAATCCTCCTGCCTTGGCATCCCAAAGTGCTGGGATTGCAAGCATGAGACACCGCACCTGGCCCATCATTAACTTTAATTTCTTCTCTGAGAAGCAAATCTTGTGGACTCCTTTAGAAACGGAACTGAGCCTTACCTCCAGCTCACAACCCACGTCCGGTAAAATAGTTTTGTGTAATTGATTAAATTTGACTCCTAGGGGTGAGTTTTCAGCTCACATAGGGAAAGGAGGGAAGCAGTGCCCATCACAGCGGAAATGTGGACACTGCTTTTATTTGAGGGAAGGAAGGGGAGCTGTCTGCACAATCCCATGACATTGTGGTTTTCTGCCAGATGCTTGGAGACAATGTACTCCAGTGCGCACACCTGCTTCTTTACACTCTGACCCATTTAACAAGCTATGTCAGAAGCCTGCTTTTTCACTTTCCTTTTGAGTATGTCCTCCTTTAAGGACATATTTATTAATAAATGGGGTTTCCCTCCTAAATTTGGCACTAAAAGGGATTGGTATGCAAATACAACATAGTACTTGGCAAATGTAAAAAAAAAAATTGTACTGCTTTGGGGGAAGGGTCAACAATGAACTAAAGGTGGTGACAAATGTAAACTCAGGATGCCTTAGAGTGTGGGTGTTAGGCAGTCAGACAGGTAAGTGTGAACCCCAGCTCAGACATTTAGTAGCTGTGTGAATTGGGGCCCTGACTAGACTCCCCTGAGCCTTGGTTTCCTCATCTGTAACATAAGGAAAATACCACCTACTGTGCCGAGTTGTTGAAAAATCTGAGATGTTAGAAGTCACCTGCATTTTGAAACTTGAAGTGATGCATTTTTTCATCATTTCTGATTTGTCCCATGCCTACAGGAAGAGAGTGTGCCACCTTTGATCACAGAGTACTTTCATTTTGCTGTATCTGTGGTTACATTTTATTGATGTGCATGGCCATTGTTACATTTTACTGATTTTCCTTCCTTATCAATTGGATCTCGAGGTTCAGAAAGTGCCAGATTCCTCTGTATCTGCACGAAGATGCATCTATGGAAGTGCATCTCCCCTGTCATGGAGATCCTCCAGCTCCTCCAGCTCCTCCAGCTCCTCCAGCTCCTCCAGCTTCTGCCCATCACCTTTCCATCTCCTGACCTGACTCCTGGCTGAGGTAGTGTTTTCCAATCAAGACAAAAGCTCCTGAGAGCTTCCATCAGTGTGGTTCCCGGAATAGTCAGCTGACTTGTAAATGGAAAGCCCTAGAGAAAAACAAGTCCTTCTCTGATCTCAATCTTAGCAGTATCACCTAAGCCAGTGTTTCCAACCTTTCATGCACACAGTGATCACCCATGGGCCTTGTTGAAAGGCAGATTTTGGCTCAGCAGGCCTGGGTGGGAGTTGAGCCTCTGCCTGGCTGATGAGCTCTCAGGGGATGACCAAGTACCTGGTCTAGGAGCCTCACCTCCAACGGGAAACTCTCCAAAACACAGATTTTTATCAAATTTGTTCAAGCCCTAATTAGAGGCCACCACCCAAAACAATGGGTCCCCAGATGACTTTAGCCTGGGCATATTTGGGGTTTTTCTTCTAGTATAAGATTCAGGCTATCCAGCCTTTTTTTTTTTTTTTTTTTTTTTGAGATAGAGTCTCACTCTGTCTCCCACGCTGGAGTGCAGTGATGTCATCTCGGCTCACTGCAACCTCTGCCTCCTGGATTCAGGCGATTCTCCTGCCTCAGCCTCCAAGTAGCTGGGATTACAGGCACCCACCACTGCGGCTGGCTAATTATTGTATTTTCAGTGGAGACAGGGTTTCACTATGTGGGCCAGGCTGGTCTCAAACTCCTGACCTTAGGTGATCCTCTCATCTCAGTCTCCCAAAGTCTGGGATTACAGATGTGAGCCACCCTGCCAGGTCGGTCCAGTCTTAGTTGAATTTGGCTTCCTTGTACGATAAAGAGACTGGGCTGACTGGAATCTCTCGGGTCCTTTTCAATAAGCAAATGCAGCATACTTTCTTCTTACAGAGGTGGGACAGATCAGGGAAGATGCAAAATTCATCTGTTCACATTGTCATTACCAAATTCCTTTCAGCTTACCGAAATCTTCTCTGAGCCTTAGGATCAATATGATTCATATTGTTGGGAAAAATACATAATGGAATTATAGCTGATTGTCAGAGACAGGTTAATGCTCTAATCAGAAAGTCAGTGACTGACCTGTGAATGAGTTTAGAAGCTGCCTGTACCATATTAATTCCCAAAATTTACAATGTAATTAAGGCTTCAGAATTCTCTAAGAGAGTGTGGTCTCATTTCCTTTTGTTATGTTATTGTGTAACAAATGCAGTTGTTTTCTTAAACAAAATTGCCTTCTGCTTTTCTGTTCTCCCTTACTTTAGAAGCTTGATGGCACTTTACTACTTGTTATGTTATAACAGCAGTGTTCCCTGTGTGGAAGTCTTCCAAAGGCAATTCACTCTTCTGAGATTATGTTTTGGAGGAAGAATATATTTGAAAGCTCTAAAAAAAAATTTAGGGTTTTCCAGGGGATTTTGTTCCATGGGTTTTCCTTGCATATTATCTCATTGTTAAAAGGATTGTATAATATTCTAAGAATCAAGAGGTTGTAGTTTCACATAAATAGACGCAATCAAATAATTACTTTTGCTTTTATTTTTATGCTGAATAATTTCACTCAATGGCATCAACTTCAGAATGAATCATAATGAGTCTACTTGACCTTGTTAAAACTGACAATAAAATGGTGACCAAGTCCTTTTCCTTTGAAAAAGGAAGCGGCCAGCTTTCTAATGCTGGCTTGGTGGCCATGGAAGATGCCCTCAACGGTCAAAGAAAAACTCATATGAAAGCACCAAAAATGTGGATGAAAGCAATGCCATCCTCACGTGCTAAGGAGTGTGTGAATGCATGAAAATAAGGTGCTTAGAACAATACCTAACACATACCAGGTGTTCAGTAAATACTGGGTACTATCATTCCTGACACTTTTGTCTGCATGCTTACAACAAGCCAGCCTGCAGTTGCTTAATCTCTGCAGGCTCTATGCATGTGTGAAGATATATACCTATATTTACACATGCAAATATATATAAAATACCCATGTATAATTTTTAGGGGAACCCTTTTACAGATGATAGTTTCCGGTAGTTGTGAAAAAATCTGGCAAAGCACCATAAAAATAAATAATGCAAGCATTCTTTGAATTACTTAAAACTGAATGTCCAATTCAAACAGATTATAATTTTCAATGTTTTCTGTTGATAGAGTATCATATAGAGAGTTGGGATTTAGAAATAAACTGTCTTCCACTGGGCGTGGTGGCTCATACCTGTAATCCCAGCACTTCGGGAGGCCGAGGTGGGCAGATCTCTTGAGGTCAGGAGTTTGAGACCAGCCTGGCCAACATGATGAAACCCCGTCTCTACTAAAAATATAAAAATTAGCCAGGCGTGGTGGCATGCACCTGTAATCCCAGCTACTTGGGAGGCTGAGGCAGGAGAATCCTTTGAACCCGGGAGGCGGACGTGACAGTGAACTGGGATCGTTTCCACTGCACTACAACCTGGGTGACAGAGTGAAACTCCATCTCAAAAAGAAAAAAAAAAAAAAGAAAGATAGAAAGAAAAACAGAACAAGCAAAAAAAACAAAAACAAACCAACAAAAAACAGAAATAAACTGTCTTCCAAATAAAAGTACGGGAAATCTTAGTGGAGAAAGTAACGTATTAGTGCCTATGACACACACAAGTGAATGTACAGGTGACCCTTGAACAAGGCCAGTTTGAACTGCATGGGTCCCCCTTTTACAGGGATTTTTTCCAGCAAATCGCAGATCCAAAATATAGCATTGGAGGGAGGCAAAATTCACATATATCAACAGCTGACTTTTTGTACATGCCTGCAGATTTAGGTATACCTGGGATTCCTGACCGATCCACCTCCTTTACCCAGGATGACTGTATATATTTCTTTGAGAAATGTGTGTATATTTTTCTCTGAGTCATATTGATTAAAAATTAATATTAGTCAGTACTATCATTCTTAAAGTACTAAAATTAATATAAAACTAATATAGTGTTTTCATAAAGTAAAGAAAAAGGGAACCCTAGTAAAGAGTTGGTTCAGTGAGGCCAGTCTACGTTTCACATCACCCAAGCCTAACATTCATTTGGATGGATACTTCTCACTTGTTGGGATTATTAAGCCATTGGTTTGTGTTTGTTCCGTGTAAACACTAAGGGAAAGGGAAAAGGAGACTCTCCGCTGTTTTGTGGGTGTTTGGCTAGGGTTTAGTTATGCAAGGTGAAGTTTGGAGTTATTTCCCTGTATGAAAACTCTTCATGATAGACACCAGGTGTGCTGGAGACTCACAGCAACAGAAGAAAGCCCAGGCTGACTCCGGAGAAAACGGCTGACCAGGAGCATCCCAGGATCATGACGGAGTCGGCTGACTCCCCGGTCAGACTCTCTGCTTTCTAATCCTGAATCAACCCTTTATAAGCTGTTTGACCTTGAGAAATTCCCCTAACTTCTTCGTACCACAGGCTATTTACTCATCTCTGTAATAGAGGTAGCATATTTCCTATTCAAAAAGGCTACTGTTAAACATAGTAATACACTTGGAGTGGCAACCTTAGGACTCAGTAGATGTTAGTGACTATTAGGAAATAAATAATATTTCCCAGAAGTGCCATAAGATCATTCATACGTCTTATAGTTTGATGAGTTGCTTTGCATTTTGCCAAGGTGGACTACTGTTTGATTCTGTAATCCTGGCAAGCATTTAGCCAGCAGAAAGCTAAGTCATATTAAGATCTCAACTTCCAGAGAGAGCTTAGGACTCAGAGTCAGGAACTCTCAGTTCAGAAAGGGCTGCAAAGCTCCGGAATTTGAAGAAAATGTCCAGATGGTGTGAATATTTAGTTATTAATCTTGGAATTTCACTATGCAAACAGAATTAATGTAGTAACCATTTAACCACTTGTGTTTCTGCTGTAATAAAACATCACAGTCTAGGCAGCTGAAATAGCAGGCATTGATTTCTCCCAATTCTGGAGGCAGGAGGTACCTGCTGATTTGGTTTCCAGAGAGGGCTCTTCTTCTGGCTTGCAGAGAGCTGCCTCCTCACGGTGTCCTCACATAGTGGAGAGAAAGCAAGCTCTCTCCTGGCTCTTCTTACAAGGACATTGATTCTGTTGGATCAGGGTCCCACCCTTACAACCAAATTTAGCCTTAATTACTTCTATAAAGACTCTATCTCCAAATACAGCCACACTGGGGTCAGGACTTCCACAGATGAATTTGAGGATGGGAACATGAACATTCCGTCCATAGCACCAATCGTCAGGTGCATTTATTTCATCCACGTTCTATAACTCTGGAATGAGGCTGATAGCATCTCTCTCTCTCCAGTTTGTTTCCTTGAGCCTCATCCTCCAACCGCCCTTGTTCCTGTGGAGAGCTCCTTCCAGACTGGGGTCCCCTGCTTTATGGCAGGGGCAAGGGGTATGGATATATTCCAAATGACTTCTGTCTGTTCTTTTTTCTGATAACTCCTAAGGTCAAACATCTATACAGTCTTTCTATCATTTGTTATTAACCACACTTAGCATCGGTAATTCCTTGCAACATTGATTTTGGTGAGGTTCTACGATCTTTATTTTCCTTTCTATTTTTTCTCGGTTTTAGATATTCCGCTTATTCTTTTTCTCCTGCAGATGAAACCACTCAAGGGGTTTCTTCCTGCCTGGTGCATGAAGAAAGATCATGGCATTGTAGTAAAGAAAAAAGTTTAATAGACATGAGGACAGCCATACCATGTGGGAGATGGAATTTGTACTCAAATCACCTCCTCCAAAGCTCATAGGATAGGGGTTTTCTTTTTTCTTTTTCTGTTTTTTTTTTTTGTTGTTGTTGTTCTTTTTTTTTCTTTTTTTTTCTTTTTTTTTTTTTTTTCTGAAAAAGTCTCACTCTGTCACCCAGGCTGGAGTGTAATCGCATGATCTTGGCTCATTGCAACTTCCACCTCCTGGGTTCAAGTTATTCTCGTGCTTCAGCCTTCTGAGTAGCTGGGATTACAGGCATGTGCTACAACACTGGGCTTTTTTTGTATTTTTTAGTAGAGATACGGTTTCACCATGTTGTCCAGGCTGGTTTCAAACTCCCAACCTCAGGTGATCGACCTGCCTCGGCCTCCCAAAGTGCTGGGATTACAGGCATGAGCCACTGTGCCTGGCTGGTTAGGGGTTTTTCAAAGACAGTTTGAGAAAGGGGTGGGAGTGTTCAGGTAACAGGTGCTTGCTGCTGATTGATTGGAGCAGAGATGAAATCACAGGGTGTTGAAGCTGTCCTCCCGCAGGCTGAATTGCTTCTGGGCGGGGCCACGGGAGCGGGGCTGGCAGGTCCAGGTGGAACCATGAGTGTCAGACATGCAAAAAACCTGAAAAATCTCAAAAGACCCATCTACAAGAGTGGTGTTATTTTCAGGAGATATTGCGGAAGTTGCATATCTTATAAATAATGGCCGAAAATCCTTCATGTCTGCACCTTAGCAGGACTTGGCTCCTCTATTCTCCCTAGACTGACAGCCTCCCATTAGCTTTATAAAAGCCATCGAGTTTTGGATAAGGCCTATTATTATTTATACTGTAGCCTAAATGTCTTCCAAAGTCAGCTCGGCTCAATAGCCCAGGAATAATTAAGGGAAAGGCAAGAGGGGTAGGGGTAGTTAGCTCCCCTTACTGTTATAATTTTTCTTACTGATATAATTTTTGCAAAGGTGATTTCTGAGATGAAACTATTGACTGAGTAGCAACTCATGTTTAGCGTTAGCATTTGTCGAGCAGGTATGACAGCATTCCACGTGCAGTCTCCTTGAGGTTGTTTGACAGGGAGAAGTAACAACTCTTGGGAGCACCATTCAGGCATAGTTTAGATGCCATAGGAGGTGTACTCAGGAAGCCAGATGTGAGACAGACATGGGTAAAGAGCAGGAGCAACACCCATTGGGGGTGAGTGAAGCAAGACTGGGAGGAGGGAAGAACTAGACCATGGAACACCTGCTGAAGAGGACCCAGTTGATCTCACAGAGAGCTCAGAAATGGGGATGGTGCTTCAGAGCTGCTCCCAGACAAGCCAAGACAAGAACTCTGCACCCCTGAAGGGACCTGTCACTGGATGTTGGCTGCTCCCAAGGAGCAGGGTGTAGCCTTGAGCCCACCAGCTCTCGTCAATTGAAGGCAAATGCTGTAAGGACCCAGATGTAAGTGAACACCAGACAACACTTCCCACACGGGGGAAACAGGCTGTATCAGTCCATTTTCATACTGCTATGAAGAAATATTTGAGACTGAGTCATTTATAAAGAAAAAGAGGTTTAGAGGACTCACATTCCACATGGTTGGACAGGCCTCACAATCATGGCGGAAGGTGAAGGAGGAGCAAAAGCACATCTTACATGGTGGCAGGCAAGAGAGCATGTGCAGGGGACTGCTCTTTATGAAACCATCAGATCTTGTGAGACTTATTCACTATCATGAGAACAGCACAGGAAAGCCCCACTCCCAGGATTCAATTACCTCCCACTGGGTCCCTCCCATGACACGTGGGGATTATGGGAGCTACAAGTCAAGATGAGATTTGGGTGGGGACATGGCCAAACCATATCAAAAACCTTGGTTCCAAAGTGGAGACCCATGTAGGGCTCCCCAGGGTCCACACCTGTGGTAAAAATTGGAAAACTGCACTTGAATTTGATTGAACATTTATGAAAATGCTGCTGTAGATTTTAGTGGTCAATTATGCCCCATTAGTCAATGCACTTTGGTAAGCTCTTGGTCAAGAAAAATTATGAGGAAAGGTCTTATGGATGAAGCCTGATACCAACTTCTCAAGCAATGGCTTCTCTGGTCCATAATCACTATTTTTAAGACAAGTCTGAAGGATCCTACGAGGAGACAGAAACCACTTCAGTTATTGGAGCAGAGAGCATTCAATACAAGAAGCGTGAACTATCAGTATAATTGTTAACTGAAAGAGAAAAAGAGAGCCCTGAGGTGCTGTGCAGGTAGCAATCACAAGAAACAGCTGTCACCCTCAGGGCAGCAGGACAAAGGGAAGTGGTGGAAATTATTGATGCTTAGCCACATAGAGAAGGGACCCTACAGGTCTGAAGTGGAGGTGCTCCCTGGTGCGGTCAGTATCTCTGAGCTCAGAGCAGGGGCTCTGGGAGGAGGTCCCTGTGACTGCAGCTGGGGTCATGGGAACGGGTGTGTAATAAAGGTGGTTTTGGAAGGATAAGCTCCATACTGGAGCCAGCTCCTGCCCAGAGGAAGCAGTGTGACCAGTGTGATGGCCACAGAAGCAGAGGCCAAGAAGCCCCAGGAAGCAAACATGAAGGACCCAGAGCCCTTCTTCCTCCTCCAGCTTGTGGGCCCATCTGGTGCCCTGTACTGCAGGCAGCTTGCAGGTCCCAGCTTTGGCATCCTAGATCCCAAGGTGGAAGGGAGGTCGTGGAGCTGACAGCAAGCTAACAGAATCCCCAAACACACGGATGTGTTTTCCTTTGATTGAATCATAAGGGCCAGTCTCTTTCACACTTCGAAACCTATGACTACATATCGACAAAATGACTGATGATATATGTGCTATATTAGCATTCCTTAATGGTTTTTGTTTGTTTGTTTTGTTTTGTTTTTGTTTTGAGATAGAGTTTTGCTCTTGTTGCCCAGGCTGGAGTGCAATGGCACAATCTCTGCTCACTGCAACCTCCACTTTCTGGGTTCAAGCGATTGTCCTGCCTCAGCCTCCCAAGTAGCTGGGATTACAGGCATGCACCACCATTCCTGGCTAATTTTTTGTATTCAGTAGAGATGGAGTTTCACCATGTTTGTCAGGCTGGTCTTGAATTCTTGACCTCAGGTGATCCACCCACCTCTACCTCCCAAAGTGCTGGGATTACAGGTATGAGCCACCACACCTGGCCATGTTAAATTAAACAAAGGGAATACTCCTTTCATATTAATTAGAGTTTAACCATGTCTTAATTCATGGGTGCAACTTTGGTCTATGGGCTAGAAAGGTTTATAAGGAGGTTAGCATTGATGATGTAAAAATGGTTGTAGATGAATTTTCCATCATTCATGGTAAACATTTGATTTTATAAGATGTTTGTCATGCAAAGACATTCCCAATATTCCTTAATACAAATTGCTGAAATTGTGAAATGTGGTAGTCATTTTCATGCAAATTAGATAAAGAAAACCAGAGACTATTGTTATGTGGGGAAATTTCAGATAAGTGGGGTTCAGGAAGGAGTAGAGGAGAAGAAACTGGGGGCAGGAGGACGCTGGCAGGGTCGTCATGTCCCAGGGCTGGGCGGCCTGGGGTGTAGAGCAAATTGAGGGAATGCTGGAGGCTCTGATTGATGAGCAGGGGTAATGCTGTTCAGGCAGCTGCTTGGAGCAGAAAACATGGGGTCCACTGTGCTCACCTGCAGGGAATGAGTAATAGAGAAATGGCAAAGGCAAATCATCCTTTACTGAAAACAACAACAAAACAAAGCAGAAAGAGAGTTCAAGGTGGTAACTGGAGGATACAGCAGAGCCAACAACTTCTTCCACCTCCAAAATAAAACGTCAGACCCAACCACATCTTCCACCTCCAAAATAAAACAGGATCCAGACTACAGGAAAAAAGGAGGAAGACGAAGTGAAACAGAAGAGGTTGAAGTCGTGGGAAAGGGGGCAAAATGGAAACAACCAAACAAACACTGTTTCTGTGTAGAAAAGCAGGGAGTGATGTGTAGGGAACAGGTGGAGGAATTACGTTTAAAGAAATGTGAAAAAAAAAAAAAGGAAACTTACAGTAGTAAGTGGATGTATAAAGGAAATCACAAGGAAACCAAAATCCTTTAATACTATCATCATTTAAAATCCGTCACATGGGCCAGTCACAGTGGCTCATGCCTGTAATCCCACACTTTGGAGGGTCGAGGCGGGTGGATCACTTGAGGTCAGGAGTTTGAGACCAGCCTGGCCAACATGGTGAAACCCCGACTCTACTAAAAAATACAAAAATTAGCCAGGCATGGTGCTGCGCACCTGTAATCCCAGCTACTTGGGAGGCTGAGGTGGGAGAATCACCTGGGAGGTGGTGGCTGCAGTGAGCCGCGATCACATCACTGTACTCCAGCTTGGGCAACAGAGCGAGCCTCTGTCTCAAAAAAATAAAAAATAAAATAAATCTATCACATGGATACGAGGTTTCCATGTCAAGTCTCTGGAGACTCCTAGACTTAGAAAAATGATATTGATCATTTCATCGAGAGAACCGAATGTAATTTGTGCAGCATTTTAAAAGAAAGATTTCTTACCATCTAGTTGCTTTCAAAGTTAGTGTGGCCTAATTTTATTATCTTTATCAAACTAACATTTGTTTACAATCTTTCTTAATTATTTGCCATTTAGCTTTTTAGGGCTTTGTTCCCCCCCATGCAGACACAGAGTGGCATTTGAGTGACGTTGACTTTTGTAGTTCTATTAAAGGAGGCTCCCAGGACTGCAGGCAGGTTCCAACTGCCTCACCAGCACTGCTGCTCCATTCCCTGGAAGGTCCTTGAGCTGGACCTGCCAGGCTGACGATCTATAGTCAGAAATAAGTCACTTTTATGGGATTCGAATGCAGCTTGAAGTAATCCTGACTCCAAAATTCTTCCTTCTTTGCTTGTCTGTGACCAGCATTATATGGATGAGAAACGGGACTCACTGGCAAGGAGACTGCGTAGTTGCTGGAGTTATACCTCCCTACTTCTCCTCACTTAACACACATCCACCTAGCAAAGCACTCTCCCTCAGATGCAAAGCCAAAGCGGCAGCAAGCCCCATTCCCTAGACACTCAAGAGCTGTTCTCTGTGCTGCAGCTGAAGCTGGCTTCAGACCCCTTGGGCGGGCTCCCAGGCAACCTACAGTGCAATGACAGCGTCCATCGCCCCCTCTCCTGCAGAAGGCCACGTTACCATCTTGACCATTTTTCGCATCATCAGTGCTAACCTCCTAACCAAACTTTCTAGCCCGTAGGCCAAAGCTGCACCCCTTAGTTAAAACACAGTTAAACTCCAACTAACCTAAAAAGAGTATTCTATTTGTTTAACATCAGGGAGCACTAATATAGCAAATATATCAGGTAGCCATACACCCAAGGTCTGGGGGCTCCTGGGAGCTTCACCCCCGCTGCAACAAGAACAGAGCCCGATCTTTTCCATCACTTGTTTATTATTATTATTATTATTATTATTATTATTATTATTATTATTATTATTATTATTTTGTAAAGGGGGCTGTGGGCGCTCCACTCCAGCTGCGCGGGAAGAAGGAAGCAATGCTGACTTGACCTTCTGCAGCCGCGGAGGGGGAGATGGATGCTGTCCTGGTGCTGTAGGCTGCCTGGGAGCCCCGCCCCGCGGATCTGAAGAGCCCTCCTCCCCTCGGGAGCTGTTTAGGCAGCTTCGGGTAGAGATGGAGGCCTAATCGTTTTCATTATCTTCTGCATATCCACTCTTTATTTTCTGAAATGCTTACGAATTTTTTTCTTTCATATTTATCACCTTAGAATTTGGTAGCAGTATTTTGGAAAAATGTTAACGCCTGTCATTGTTCGGAAATTTCAAAGAACTTCTGACATTGCCTTTTTCTACTGATGACAGCAGTGCGGCCCCAAGCTGCCTGCCTTTGGGAGACAGAGGAGCCACACTTGTACATGCTTTGAAAGTGAGAAACTTACAGAAACCTAGAAAAAGGATTTTGGACCTCAGGATCTGAATGGTTCTTGGAGTTCTTTGCAGATGAGGTAATGTTTTGGTTAACTCATAGGTCAGACCTGCTGTCCTTAGCTAACTTGCCCGGGAGGTTTTTAACGGAAGGCCTGTGTTAGCACAAATCATATTTCCTGATGACGAGCAGAGACCTTGATCTGGTCTTAAAGAACGCGTTTTCCAACTTACCCTGGGACTTTTTTGAATTAGCCGGCCACATATACCAGGGTTCTCAGAGGATTTTTTCCCCCCTTTCTCTCTGTCTCTTTCTGGGTTTTTCCTATTACTAATTATACAGGCAAGAAGGTAATGATTTCTGGTGTTCTTTCCTTTAAACCTCTACTTTGAGATCAGCAGCCCGGGACACAGATAAATAGGTCAGTTATTACTGACGTCACAGGGAACTCCTGGCTCAGATTAACCGCGCAGAGATGGACGCCTGTGAGTGTGTGCAAGGGGTGATGAAACATAAAGTACAGTCAGTTCATTTAACAACAAATTCCAGCAACAGATGATAGATAAAAATAGATCCTGAAGGATCTATGTAGATCTAAATAGATGATCCATGAGCCACATAATTAGGGAATAAAAGGACTCCAGTCTTTACCAGCGAATGTAAAATTGGGTAGGCAGACTCAGACCCTTACTTATCAGTGGATTCCAGCCCTAATTCCAGGAGGCCTCACCTCACCTTGGGGGCTTCTCTTTTCCTTAACCTAACTGGTTAAGCCAGGAAAGCTGTGAAATACCTTAGTTACTTGGTGAAGAGCCATTATTACCAGATTATTATCACATTCTCAAAAAGCTTTGCTGTGAGCTGGGCAGGTGCGGCGGCTCACACTTGTAATCCCAGCACTTTGGGAAGCCAAAGTGGGCTTGGGGCCAGGAGTTCAAGACTCAGCCCAGCCAACATGTGGAAACCGCATCTCTACTAAAAATACAGAAAATTAGCCGGGCATCGTGGTTCATGCCTTGTAGTCCCAGCTACTTGGGAGGCTGAAGCACGAGAATCGCTTGAACCTGGGAGATGGAGGCTGCAGTGAGGTGAGATGAGGCCACTGCACCCCAGCCTGGGAGACAGAGCGAGACTCTGTCTCAAAACAAAGAAAAAAAAAACTTTGCTGTGTTTCACATTTTAAAAATTTTATTTTCCATAGTCTCCGGTTCCCAGACATTTCCTGAGACTCCTGTTCATTCAAGAGAGGTGGAGAAAGCCATAAATGAGAACAAACCCGTCCTTCTCACTAAGGGGAATTTCCTGGCAAAACGGAGCCTGGCACGTCAGTGTCTGGGGTTAGTTACTATCACCGCTGCTCTGGGACTGAGTCACAGCTTCCTCCAAGGCTTAGGGTGCCCCAGACACAAACTAGTTTTCTAAAACTTCTCAAGGCATTCCGTTCCTCCTTCGTTCCAGCCCCTCATGTTATTAACTCACCTAATTCATCACATGGGCATTGTGTACAAAGGCACTCTGCTACTCACTGAGGATACACATTGTTCTTAACCTCAGGGGACATTCCTCAAGGAATTAACCAAATCAGGAGATCCTTACCTGCAGGGGTCAGACAGGGAGCTGAGGACAGCCCCCGGAGGACAAGGTCCTGAAGGCCTGGTTTGTAGCTTCTGTGCTGTGCTTATCATTGGGCCTGGCACATTGATCTCTCCATAAACTCGTGTAACTTAAATGAATGATTGAGTCAGAGCACAGGGCAGAGAGCTGTTTTGGAGGCCACTTATCTTCATGTCATAGTTACCCAGACATAAGACCAGAGGCGTTCCCTTTGGTCTCATATATACATATATGTATTGTATTTTTCCCTAAAATTATTCCTTTGTATTATTTTTGCAATTATAAATGTATATTTGCAATCTGAAATGCTGAGTTTCTTTTTTACATCAGGAGCAAATATCCAAATTTTCTTTTGTTTGTTTGTTTCTTTCTTTTTTTTTTTTTTTCCTGAGACAGGGTCTCACTCTGTCATCCAGGCTGAGGTGCAGTGGTGCGATCATGGCTCACTGTAGCCTTGAACTCTCCAGGCTCAGGCGAGCCTCCTACCTCAGCCTACCAAGTAGCTGGGACCACAGACACACACCACCATGTGCGACTAACTTTATTTATTTTATTTATTTATTTTTGAGATGGAGTCTTGCTCTGTTGCCCAGGCTGGAGTGCAGTGGTGAGATCTCGGTTCACTACAACCTCTACCCTCCTGGGTTCAAGCGATTCTCCTGCCTCAGCCTCCTGAGTAGCTGGGACTATAGGTGCACCCCACCATGCCTGGCTAATTTTTTGTATTTGTAGTAGAGACAGGGATTCACTATGTTGGCCAGGCTGGTCTCGAACTTCTGACTGCGTGATCCACCCACCACAGCCTCCCAAAGTGCTGGGATTACAGGTGTGAGCCACCACACCCGGCCAACTAGCTTTATTTTATTTTATGTTTTTTTGTAGAGATAGTGTTTCGCTGTGTTGCCCAGGCTGGAACTCCTGGGCTCAAGTGATTCTCCCACTTTGGCCTCCCAAAGCCGCCCAAAGTCCTGGGATTATAGGTGTGAGCCACTGTGCCCAGAAAAAAATTTCCTTTTTACTTCTGTACCCAGAGCTGACCTTACTTAAGCTGTGGAAGATAAAAAAAAAATCACTACAGTATTAGTGGCCTCAATTGAAGCAGTTATTTCGAACTAACTGAAATCGGAAAAACAATTTCTTTTTACTTCTGTACCCAGAGATGACCTTACTGAAGCTGTGGAAGGTTAAAAACATCACTACAGTATTAGTGGTCTCAACTGAAGTAGTTATTTTGAACCAATTGATATGTATATATTTTATTTGTAATTTAGAAAAATACTAATAATTCTGTCTCTTAATATATGTTGGGAGTAGCAGCTCTTAATGAATTGTTAGTAACGCCCTTCACTCCCATCCCCTACACCCCTGTCTTACGTACAAGTTAAATTAAAGGGGTTGATAAACTCACTTTTCTGTCGTTTTATTCAGCTCTAAATGCTCTGGTTATTTCAGAGCTCCTGGCTTAAGGAATTAAGATTCTCATCAGATACATAAACAAATGAGTATTTCTTTCCAAGATCAAAGCCAACCTTTGTTTTGACGATCGCTTTTTATAAAAACAAGTGGTGTTGATTTTTGTACACATTGTCTCTTTTTATTGTCTAACATCATAAAAATATTGCTGCAAAAACAGCAGAAATGAGTTGAACCCTGCTGGCTTCACATTTCTCCAGGAAGTTTTTTTCTGAATGTGCCGTGCACTGTCCCATGCTCAGCTGATACGATTAGAAAGAATTGCCCCCACCCACTCTCCCTGCACCCATCCATCCCTCAATCCTTTTTTTGTCACAGACTCTGGCCAGAGAGGAATGTTTTGCTTTCATCTTGATGCATACTGTCCTCAGGAATGTTTAGCAAGAAGAGGGGGAAAAAAGTTTCATTCAAGGCCAGGTGATCTCAGAGGCCATTTCCCACAAATGACCAGACCTTGACTTTAGCTTTCTCTTTCCTTATGCCGGCCTTCTTTGATAGCCTCCGAATGTCCTCATGAGCTAATGAACCATTTCAGTGAATTTTGACATCAATAAGACAATTACTCAACTTCTAAACCCTCCTCTCTCAGCCTGTTGTCCTCTTGCCTCAGGAGGAGGCTACTGACAAATGGACCTGATTGCACCTGTGTTTTCTGGACACAGTATCAATCCACATGGTGCTTTTTTTTGGGGGGAGGGGGGCAGGTTCATAATATAAGGCAAGGTTCAAAACTGGAGGACTTTACATACACATCTAGATTTCTATCTTTTCTTGAAAACCCTGGAAATCTGGGAAGACTAGATCCAAATTTCCTTGATTGGAACAACTGGCCAGAGTTGAGTTCTCACTACACTTTGCCACAGTCTCCAGCACTCCCTACAGCCCTGCACTGAGGCTGATTACCACTTGCCAGTCACTGGGATGCTTCTACACCTGTGTTTATCGCTCCCAAGCTTCACTTCTCAGTACATAATCTTCTTGGCCCATGTTAGCATTTGAGTTTGCAACCTCGACTCAACATCATATTTTCTTCATAAAATGGTAGCTTTGTCAGAGGTGTTTGAACTAGGGCGACTCCATCTTAAATAGAGAGTGGATAAAATAAGGCTGAGACCTACTGGGCTGCATTCCAGGAGGTTAGGCATTCTAAGTCACAGGATGAGATAGGAGGTCGGCACAAGATACAGGTCACGATAAACCTGATAAAACAGGTTACAGTAAAGAAGCCGGCCAAAACCCACCGAAGCCATAATGGCGGTGAGAGTGACCTCTGGTCATCTTCACAGCTCATTATATGCTAATTATAATTCATTAGCATGCTAAGAGACACTCCCACCAGCACCATGGCAGTTTACAAATGCCATGGCAGTATCCGGAAGTTACTGGATATGGGTCTAAAAAGGGGAGGAGCCCTCAGTTCCAGGAATTGCTCACCCCTTCCCTGGAAAACGCAGGAATAATCCAGCTCTTGTTTAGCATGTGATGAAAAGATAGCGAGTATCCTTAGATGAGCCACCCACGCCGCTGCTCCGCCTATGGAGTAGCCATTCTTCTATTCCTTGATTTTCTTAATAAACTTGCTCTCACTTTACTCTGTAGACTTGTCCTGAATTCTTTCTTGTGCAAGATCCAAGAACCCTCTCTTGGGGTCTGAATCGGGACCCCTTTCATGTAACAGCTTTGAGGGTTTTTGTAGAGATAATCCAATTAAATTGCATTACATTTTCTTAACCTGTGTCACAGTAAGATAAGATTCTTTGCCCTGTCTTTTACCAGTAGCCACCTGGTATCATTGGCGTCACCTTTAACACCTAACAGGGGACCTTACCCATAAACATCATTCCATCTACATTTTATAAAGCATTCTTCAAATGCATGAACTTATTTAGATCTCAGAACTTATTTAGACAATTCAGAAAGGGAAGTTTCATCATCTCTAGTTTATAGATGGGAAACTCAAGTTTAACGACAGTAAGTTGCCTGAAGTTAATCAGTGATTTGAAAGGATGAGATTTGAACCCAGAAGACCTGGGACTGACAGCCCACAACTTGATCCCAGGTCTTCTGGCTTCAAACCTCACCCTCTTTCTACATTAAGATGTTGACTCCTTGATAAATTCTGGTCCAAACAGTTCTATATGTATTATTGTCAAGAAAAATAGGCACTGGCTGGGTTTTGTGGCTCATGCCTGTAATCCAGCACATGGGAAGCCAAGGTAGGCAGGTCACGTGAGGCCGGGAGTTCAAGAGCAGCCTGGCCAACATGGTGAAACCCTGTCTCTATTAAAAATACAAAATGTAGCCAGATGTGGTGGTGTGTGTCTGTAATCCCAGCTACTTGGGAGGCTGAGGCATGAGAATCGCTTGAACCCGTGAAGCAGAGTTAGGTTGCAGTGAGCCGAGATTGCAGCACTGTTCTTCAGCCTGGGCAACAGAGCGAGACCTTGTCAAAAAAAAGAAACAAAGAAAGAAAGAGAGAAAGAAATAAAAAGAAAAGAAGAATAGGTACCTAACCAGCCTTCTGGAAGTGTCCAGCTAGATGTTTTTAAAGACAAAGATTATAAGTATTTAATAACAAGGCAAAAAGAAAAATTACTATAGAGAGTGGCTTCTGGGTTTAGGGAATCTTTGCAATAATTTATCAGAGAACGGACAGCATTCATACCACTGTTACCATATATGCTTCTGACTTCATGCATATTTTCATGGTAACAGAGTGGTATGAATGCTGTCACTTCCTTGATAAATCATCACATGGCAAGTCATGATTTGATGGTGGGAGATAAGGAGTGTGCTTACTTTTTGATGTTCATGTTGGTATTACAATAGAAATTTTCCTTTCCATATATTTTTCTGGATAGCTCTATATTTGGTTGCTAACTGGTGGTGAAAACAAACTGATTATAGTGTTACTACCTTTCTTTAGCCAGTTTAAAATAATGATAACAAGCTAGACTTGGGAGGGCTTACTCTGCATGTGTATTCAGCTGAGACCTGTTTTGGTTGCCCACATCTTTATATCTGTGTGAAGGTGTGAGGTTTCCAAGCAAAAGGTGGCTGCAGTTAATTTGCTCTCAATTGCCTGTCACCTTCTGTGCCTCAGTGGCCTGTCAGGGCCCTAAGGAGAAGGAGAGCTGCTTTCCCAGAGTGGAGGGCTCTGATTTCCAGCCCTCCAGCAGCCTGCCCTCCACCACTCCCTGCGTGGGAGCAGATCTGATGTGCCAGGTTCCCTCCGGGGCATCCACCCCTGCCGTCTCGGGGATGGCTTCAGTTGTTTCTGTGTCAACGGTTTCCTCTGAGGGCCTCTGCTGTGTGGCGTTACTTCTCAATTACATGTGCCCGAGACATTTTCCCTTCTTTTTGACATTTCAGAAATGCCATTTGATATGTTAACTGACGCTGTTATTTTGGCTGGAGCAATTTATAAAAGGTGTGTTTCTTTCAACTTCTGCTTTCTCCCAGGACAATCACTTACACACTGGAAAGCTTTCTCTGGTCGTGTGAGACTGCTGTGTGTGACACTGTAAAACAGCAATGGTGACACTCTCAAGGTGGTTCTGTAGAGTAGAATATATACATATATTGATGAGTTTCAAATATTTAAAAAAAACATATTTTGTAAAATCATTTACCATAAAGGAGAAAAAAGCAATTCGTGTGATGTCCCCAAGCCACCAAATTCGTGATCTAATTCATTTCTGGACAATGGTTCTGAATAGAATCATGAGGAAGGAATAGCTTAATCAATGCTTTTATATGTCCTCCCGGAAACTGAATTTATACCAACCCATTCTCTTGCAGAAGAGATCAAGTCATCCATTTGAACTTTCTTTTCAATTTCTAGCTTAATATTAAAAAAAATACTTTTTGCAGGAATCCTTTCTTGGCTTGAAGACCCTTGGGTTTATTCGATCTGGTCATGGATCTCTGTCCACAGGGAAAAGTGTTCTTATGACCCATATTCCAGCCCTTATCCCCCTGTTTTCTACGAGAACATCACAGCCCCTAAAAAAACAAATTGTGTGAGGAACCGCAGTAAGAAGATTTGAAAATGAAGGGAAGAGTTAGTTGAAAGCCACGTCCACAAGTATTTACATCGAGGTTAAATGTTAAGAAATTCCCTGACTGGGACTTTTTATAATTGCAGTGAATTAGACAAAAATAGATTTCAGTTTAAAAAATGGACGGCTGACTTTGTTCATCAGTGGAACTACATTTAACATGATGGACTAGAAGTGAAAATCCTAAAGGGGGAAATATAAATTGGCTAATTTGTGGTTGCAACCTGACATTCTAAAGACAGAGGAAAATGAAGTCAACTTGCCTGTAGACAGCTGGGTGATGTGGTTTTCAGCTGTTGTTTAACCTTCTCAGTGTTTATCACTGTATATGGACTGTTTACCCTTTTCTCTCTTTCTGCTTTTTCTCTTAGGCATTTATCTGATTTCTTACTTTCCTAAGAGCCCCTCCCTGCCTTTTCTCTCACTTAGCCCTTCTCCTCAAAGCCCTCAGTATTGATGTGGGATTGAGGAGACGGGATCAGCGATGGGATCGGAGAGGGCTGGAATCTGTTTCTGGTGGAGGGAAGGTTGCATCAGCCACTTCCCTCGGCTCCCGTAGAGGCCATTCCTAGCGAAGCACGTATGTCTCACTGTGAATCCAAAACAGAGGTGCTTAGAGGAGATTTACTCCTTCAGTAATATATCCACTAAAAGGTTCAGCCATATGCCGGGTCGAGCAAGTTAAAAAAAAAAGAAAGAAAAAAAATGTTGACTGGTCCAGCCTCTGCCATTGTGATATGTACAGATATTATTGACAGATTCATATATAAACCTCTGAGTTCCCCTGCAGAAAAAGCTACTTTGGGCTGGGTGTGGTGGCTCATGCCTGTAATCCCAGCACTTTGGGAGGCCGAGGTGGGCAGATCACTTGAGGCCAGGAGTTTGAGGCCACCCTGACCAACATTGTGAAACCCCGTCTCTACTGAAAAAATACAAAAATTAGCCAGGCATGGTGGCATTGACCTGTAGTCCCAGCTACGTGGGAGGCTGAGGCAGGAGAATCGCTTGAACCCGGGAGGTGGAGGTCACAGTGAGCCGAGATCGCGGCATTGCACTCCAGCCTGGGCAACAAGAGTGAAACTCCGTCTCAAAAAACAAACAAAAAAAGAAAAAAGAAAAAAAAAAGTTGGAGTGTGTGGTCTAGGGAGGAACGTGCTATTCCATGTCCTGTTTGCATCGCTCCTTGCTTATCTCAGCTCTACTATGACTTTTCTGTTATTATTATTGTTACTGTTATTTTTGGGAGGTAGTGAGATGGCTCTCCAGCCAGCCTGTCTTGCTCCTATCCTGGCTGTATCCTTTCCTAGCATGTGATGTTGGATGAATCACCTGGTAAATCTGTTATTTCATAAATGCTGATTATTAACACTGGTTCCTCCTCTAAGTTCTCTGCTATTATTCTCCCTTTCCTGCCCCTGCTTATCATTCTTGTGCTACATTAGTCTTATTTGTCTTCTCACCAGTGGCTAAGACATCTTATCCTTTGACTAATTGTCCTCAGGGTGGCCCGCCCCCCCACCCACCCCGCCCAGCTGACTGCATGGCCAGAGCTTTATTTATTTCCTTAAGGGCACTGACGTCCACGAGCTGCTGTCCTCTTCTGAGTTTCCTGTCACCTTGGCTGGAGCGTGACTGCTCAGGGAATAGAGCATCTCCCATGTTTGTCTCCATTGCCAGTATCTAGGGCCTAATGTAGAGTATTACAAAGAAGGAAAGAAATGGATGAATCAGTGAATGAGTAAATTATACATTTGCTTTAAGCCACAAATAATGCACATTTGGAAAGTGTTTGAGGCAAAATGTTTCTGAAGCTGCTTATGTGCCTCATAAATTATCTTTTTCCGATGACTAATGTGGCAGTTTACTTGACTGGCCATAGATATTATTTTATTTTATTTTACTATTTTTTCTTATTTTTCTTTATTGAGACGGAGTCTCGCTCTGTCGCCCAGGTTGCAGTGCAGTGGCATGAACTCAGCTCACTGCAACCTCCATCTCCTGGTTTCGAGCGATTCTCCTGCCTCAGCCTCCTGACTAGCTGGGACTACAGGCACCCACCACCGTGCCCAGCTAATTTTTTGTATTTTTAGTAGAGATGGAGTTTTGCCATGTTGGCCTGGCTGGTGTCGAACTACTGACCTCAGGTGATCCACCTGCCTCAGCCTCTCAAAGTGCTGCGATTCCAGGAGTGAGCCACCATGCCTGGCTGACGGGCCATAGATTTTTAAAAAGAAGTTGCGGAGGTCTAGAGTCCCAATGGGAAGATTGGTGGTGTTTTTCTAACCTTCTTCATCTCGAGATAGCAGAATCTGATAATTGCAGTTTATATATTCCCGTGTTTTGTGGAAGGCAACCTATGCATTCAATCAGAGGTGGATTTTCCACGGAACTAAAGCAGCTGTGGGGCCTCCCTCAGGAGCTCACATGGTCATACGTTGTATGTATTTCTCAAAAGTCACGTAACCACACTGGCTAAGGTCACCGTTTCTTTTCACTTTGACTTACCCGCACTGCAGCCGGTGGTGGAAGCTACAGGGAGCTTTTGGGGCCTAACAGGAAGTTAAGCTGGGATTATGCCATTTTAGTAGCAATTGAGAAAGCCATTGTGGAATGTTTCAATAAAGTGAGAAATTCCAAACTTCTAAATTTGTGACTTTAAATGATACCGTTTTTAGGCATCCTTAAAGTTATATGCAGGCCAGGTGTGCTGGCTTATGCCTGTAATATCAGAACTTCGGTGGGAGGCCAAGGTGGGAGGACTGCTTTAGCCAAGGAGTTCGAGACCACCCTGGGCAATGTAGGGAGACTCCGTCTCTACAAATTAATTAAAAAATTAGCTGGGTGTGGTGGCATATGCCTGTGGTCCCAGCTACTAGGGAGGCTGAGACAGGAGGATCACCTGAGCGCAGGAGGTTGAGGCTGCAATGATCATGCCATTGCACGCCAGCCTGGGCCACAGAGTAAGACTCAGTCTCAAAAGTAAAATAAAGTAAAAGTTATTTACAAAAGAACTGAGAGCAAGATCAGATACAAATCAATAAAACATGAAACAGAAGCAATAGGAATAACGACATCTGTAGAAGTTATTCTCACGCAGAGAAGTAAATTGTACAAGAAGGTTTAGGATCATACTGAAAGTAGCAATTTACTGAAAAGAAAAGATAAGTTTCAAATAGGAAGATTAAACAGTAATTTACAACTAGTTATTACACACAAATAATGAGATGCCCTGACATTTTTAAAGTTAATGTGTGAAAGAAGTTGATGGTAGTTTTCCCAAATTCGACCAGGAACCTCAAAAATTTATCTGATACTATCAACAAGAAGCTGTAAAGCTGAAAGTTACTTCTGTAAGCTACGAAAAACTAGTTTCGGATGACAGCTACTGTGGGAAAAACGGAATAATCTCTCTGCTATCTCTTGAAAAGGATGTTACAAAATCATTGACACAAAGAAGCACTCAAAGAATGGGTCACTAAAAGCTATAGGAAAGTTGTGTTCAAAATACACCGGGCAGTGACTGAATCAAGTATTATGTAATTCTTCTGGAATTTGTGATGCTTACGGTATTTGTCATCTTTATAACATTCATAATTTATTTTGATTTCTCTTTCCCCAAAAATGATGACTTTCACATTTGTATTTTGGATTCTTGTTGATAAAATGAGACCCTTAAGGTATATAAGCATCAGGCGCCACAAATCCTGGATCTCCTATTATTTTACATGCTCTCTATTTCAGATTTTTTTTTTTTTTTTTTGATGGAGTCTTGCTCAGTCACTTAGGCTGGAGTGCAGTGACACCATTTCGGCTCATTGCCACCTCTGCCCCCAGGGTTCAAGTGATTCTTCTGCCTCAGCATCCTGAGTAGCTGGGACTACAGGAGCAGGCCACCGTGCCCAGCTAATTTTTTGTATTTTTAGTAGAGATGGGGTTTTGCCATGTTGGCCAAGCTGGTCTCGAACTCCTGACCTCATGATCCGCCCGCCTTGGCCTCCCAAAGTGCTGGGATTACAGGCAGGAGCCACCGCACCCAGCCTCCATTTCAGATTTCTGATGGCTGTACTCTCATTGCACTAATATCCGTGAACTTGAGAAACTTTACATCACTCTTCCACAGTCTCTAGTCAACTGTTAATTATGTTTTTAAGCCTGTGTGAAAAAGTTCCATTTCTTTTTTAAAGGAGATTTCCATTTGTATTAATGTTGACTAAACTTCTTTCGGAAGACTGCAGTGATCAAGGAAGAGAAAAGCTAATGTAACATATGAAAATTGGGTTGGCACATATTTAAAATAATGCATATAAATTATGGGAACTTGAATATTGACTCATCTGGGTAGCAAATAACACTATCAAAGAATTCAAGTCACAGAATAGGCTATCATTCCAAGTATCTGCCTACTTTGCAGAAAGGAGTCCTAGATTAGAAAGGGTATTATGCCTGGGCATGAGCACCAAGACATGGGGGCTCTGGGGGTCATCTTGGAGGCTAAGGTGTGTTCTCCACAGTTCAGCCATTACATCACAGTAAAGTGGAAAGGTTGCTTCTAGCTCCAAATCCTTCAAGGATGTCCCATTTTGCTCAGAGCTTGTATTGCCTAGAAGCCCTGCACAATCTGTCCCCACCCTATGCACCATTGTTACTTCTCAGATTTGATCTCCTATTACATGCCCCTCTTTAAATATTATATATATATATATGTATGCTTTTTTTTTTTTGGGGGGGGACAGGGTCTCCCTCTGTTGCCCAGGCTGGAGTGTAGTGGTGTGATCTTCTCGGCTCACTGCAACCTCCACCTCCCGGGTTCAAGTGACTCTTCTGCCTCAGCCTCCTGAGTAGCTGGGATTATGGGTGCTCGCTACCATGCACGGCTAATTTTTGCATTTTTAGTAGAGACAGAGTTTCAGCATGTTGGCTGGGCTGGTCTCAAACTCCTGACCTCAATTAATCCACCCACCTTGGCCTCCCAAAGTGCTGGGATAACAGGCTTGAGCCACCCGCCCGGCCCTCTTTAAATATTTCTTCCTCAGAGTCTTTGCCTCTGGCTGGAATGTTCTCCCCTTGAAGACACCTCCAGGTCTTTGCAGACATCTGCTTCCCTTGTCTGGCCCTGCTATGCAGCTCTGTGCTTTATCTACAGCCATGGCATAGGAAGCAGCCTGAGACATGACACGGCTGCCTCATGCCCAGCTTGTTGAGTACCACGTGACCTCCCTGCAGGTAAGGACATTTGTCTGCATTATTTTCTGCTTGCTCAGGACCTGGCATGAAAGAGGCATTAGATACATATTTGCTCTTCTTGCATTTTTTTCATGATTAGGCATATTCTGTTTTGGCTCCTTGTAGAGCTCTTGGATTAGGTTCAATTTGCTAAACGTGTAAACCTATAAATTTTAGGATGCTTTTATCCAGAGCTGTTTCATTTCATCATCTTTCCAACCCTGGGAAGTAAGGGCTATTATATTATTATTATTATTATTATTATTATTATTATTATTATTATTCCTTCTTTACATTTAAGGAAGCTGAGGCCCAGAGAACTTCACAGCCAAGACCCAGCAAAGCCAAGCTGATGCTTGGATCTTTGATTGAAACTGTGCTCATTCCACCTCTTTATACTGCCCTTTAGAAAGGGTCAGTGATGGCCGGGCCTGGCAGCTCATGCCTGCAATCTAAGCACTTTGGGAGGCTGAAGCAAGAGGGTTTCTTGAGCCCAGGAGTTTGAGACCAGCCTGGGCAACATGGCAAAACCCTGTGTTTACAAAAAAATACAAAAAGTAGCCAGCCATAGTGGTGCACATGCCTGTGGTCCCAGCTACTCTGGAGGCTGAGGCAGGAGGATTGCTTGAGCCTGGGAGTTGAGACTGCAGTGAGCCATGACCACACCCTGCACTCCAGCCTGGGCAACAGTGAGAGACCTTGGAAAAGAAAGAAAAGAAAGGAAAGAAAGAAAGGAAAGAAAGAAAGAAAGAAAGAAAGAAAGAAAGAAAGAAAGAAAGAAAGAAAGAAAGAAAGAAAGAAGGAAGGAAGGAAGGAAGGAGGGAGAAAGAAAGAAAGAAAAGAAAGAAAGAAAAAGAAAAGAAAGAGAAAAAAAGAAAGGATCAATGAGATGGTAGCACTTTGACACACTTTTTTTTTATTATGCACTTTTTTAATTGAAGATAATTAGGAAACTAGGAAGAAAAAGCAAAATTAAATAAAATAATTGTAAAACTGAATGAGAGTTAGCTTATGAAGAATCAAAAGCACTTAACCAAGACACAGCGTAAAGACGACTGAACTAGGCCGGGCGTGGTGGCTCACGCCTGTTATCCCAGCACTTTGGAAGGCTGAGGCGGGTACATCATTTGAGGTCAGGAGTTCAAGACCAGCCTGTCCAACATGGTGAAACTCTGTCCCTACTAAAAATACAAAAATTAGCTGGGTGTGGTGGTGGGTGCCTGTAGTCCCAGTTACTCAGGAGGCTGAGGCAGGAGAATCCCTTGAACCCGGGAAGGGGAGGCTGCAGTGAACTGAGATCACGCCACTGAACGCCAGCCTGGGTGACAGAGTGAGACTCCGTCTCAAACAAACAAACTAACTAAAAAACCCACTGAACTAAAAGTCAGGATATGTGGTTTAAGGGCTAACTGTTCTTACATAAAATATACAACTTTGGAAATTGTATTCACACTTGCTGAGCCTTCGGTTTCTTATCTATAAAATGGGGTTAAAAATACCTACTTCATTGGCAGGCCATGGTGGCTCATGCCTGTAATCTCAGCAGTTTGGGAGGTACAGGTGGGATGATTCATTGAAGCTAAGTGTTTGAAATCAGCCTGGGCAACACTGCAAGACCTCATCTCTACTAAAAATAAAAAAAATTAGCTGAGTATGGAGGCACATGTCTGTAGTCAGCTATTCTAGAGGCTGAAGCAGGAGGATTGCTTGGGCCCAGGATTTGGAGGCTGTAGTGAGGTATGATAGCACCACTGCATTCCAGCCTGGGGCACAGATTGAGACCCTGACTCTAAAAAAAAACCACAAAAAATACTGTGTTCTATGCTCATTCCGTGGGTGACGGGATTTTTTGTGTCCCAGACCTCAGCATCATGTAATATACCCGTGTAACAAATCTGCACATGTTCCCCTGTATCTAAAATAAAAGTTGAAGAAAAAACAAAAAAAAATCTACTTTATAAAAGTGATTATGTGAGAACATAGTGTGGAAAAAAACATTTTAAATTATATCCCTATATGAGTGTAAGGCATCACTGCCATAACTTTGAAAAATAGTGTGTTTCACCTAGAAACACTGAACCTCCAAACAATCTAAACATTTAAATGAATGTATTTCAAATCCATCTATGTGAAATTTATAAAATTTATAATAGTCATGTAATGACCAAATTATATAGAGACTTATTAGTCAGATCAACCAATACATATTGAGTTCTCATTATATTCTTAACAATATGCCAGTTTCTATGTTGGGAATCAAAGAAATATACACTCCCAGTCTGGGTGTAGTGGCTCACAGGTGTAACCCCAGCATTTTGGGAGGCCAACATGGGTGGATCATTTGAGCCCAGGAGTTTGGGACCAGCCTGGGCAACATAGTGAGACCCAGTTTCTACAAAAAGTACAAAAACTTAGCCAGGCATGGCGGCACATGCCTGTGGTCCCAGCTACATAGGAAGCTGAGGTGGGAAGATCCCTTGAATCTGGGAGGATGAGGCTGCAGGGGGCCACGATTATGTCACTGTGCTCCAGCCTGAGTGATAGCAAGATCCTGTCTCAAAACAAAACAAAACAAAAACTACACTACCAGATCCTTTCCATAAGAAAATTAACAAATGACTACACATGTACTTATACATTCAAAATAATTTAAGTAATGAAACATTATATGAGAAAGTATACATTTTCCCCTTGATTTATTAATGCTGTCAACATTCAATACATGTCTGTTACAATTAGCTCTTGTGTGTGCTCTTACATTTGTGAGTCCAGCACCACACTTTCAGTTCAACGTACTGCTGGGACACAGGATTCAGGTGCACTACTACCAAGCGGGATCTTGATTTAGATGTCCTGACTTAGCAGTCAACTCCCTTTAACAGGACAGGGTAAAAGTGCAGTCTGTGTCAGCTCTATTAGATTTCCTCTTAATTAGCTTATTTTCACACAAAAAAATAGTTACGAAGAATAGTGTACAGTTTGGATAACTTTAAAAGTTATGTATCAGGTTTGGTGCAAAAGTACCAAAAATGGTGGTTGGTTTTAACCTCAATTACTTTTACACCAACCCAATGAAATGTTTGCTCCCATGACCCAGTGAAGAGTTAGGGCATCATCTTATTAGGATATCGCTCAGAAGCCTGGCCACTCTCTGGGCATCATACTCCTGAAAGAAATGGTCTTGCGACATCTACTGTTTTGGAATTAATTGACAGCAATGCATAAAGGTTTGTGTGGTTGATTTGTTGTACTGTTCTTCATTTGAGAATGAATTATACTATCCAAGGAATATGTTGAAACAAACTGGACTTTTTTTTTGTTTGGCAACCTATATCGTCAATCATTATAAGCACAAGTACATTCAAGAAACCATCAGTACTGTCTGTGAGGTTCTGCACACACTTTCCAGGGGATGCAGGCTCAGGGCTGGGCCATCAGGGGTCCTTCATCAAGAACAAGGGTGACCTCACAGAACCTTTTCTAAAAATTCTCTCACGGAAAGTCCCTTTTCTGTTTACACCTCTTGATTCCTCTTTGGCCTCTTTTGTTTCACAGCAAAACAGAAGTAGAAAGAGGTGCTCTCGTGACGGCAGTGCCACGTCGCTTCACAGACCTTTTGTGCTGACAGCTCCCTGGCCACTAATTAACTTCTAAGTATTTATGTTGGTGCAAAAGTCATTGAAAGTAATTGTGGTTTTTGCCATTTAAAGTAATTTTTGCCATTTAAAGTAATGGCAAAAACCACAATTACTTTTGCACCAACCTAATATTTAAAAGGCAGAACACCAGTTTTTGATAGAGTAAAATAATTAATAACACTTCACTGTAAATATTTTTCTCCTGTATTTCCTAGCACTGGATGAGTGTCTAGCCTCTGAGTCAGCTTTTACTGACAGTTCAAGCTTGGTGGAAAATAACTTCTAAAGAACAAGGAAACCAAATAGCATATGATTCCTAAGCAGAAATGAAGGGATTTTAATACAAAGTAGTTGATGTTCAGAGATCACTGGGACACAGTGTGATCCAGAATGGAAGTGGAGTTGGAGTCATGTATGTGAGGATGGGAGAGAAAGAGAGGATCTAGAGAGAAGGGGAGACAGTGAAGGATGGCAGAACAAGCGCATGCCAGGGAGGGTGAGCACACTGAGATACTCAGGACAGGGGCGCTTTAGGGGTACAGTAGCTGCCAGGCAGCAGATGGAGTACGGGGACTTGAAGGGAAGCAGGAGCACCAGCTGGGGGTCCCTACTGCAGTGCGCTACATAAGAGGTGATGGAGGCTTGCCCTCAGGTGGCGCAGACGAGGCCATGAGAAGCTGTTAGATTCAAGATATATTGATATATTCTATATCTCATTCTATTGATATATATATATATACACACATCAATATCAATATATATCTTATTCTATTGATATATATACAGAACAATATATATCTCATTCTATTGATATATATCAATAGAATATAGCTATAATATCTAATATAGAATATAATATCTCATTCTATTGACATATATTGACATATTGATATACTGATATATATATATATATATATTGATATATTCTGATGACTGTTTTTGTGTTGTTGTTTGTTTGTTCATTTGAGGCAGGGTATCTCTCTGTGGCTTAGGCTGGAGTGCAGTGGAACAATCTCGGCTCACTGCAACCTCTGCCTCCCGGGCTCCCACTTCAGCCTCCAGAGTAGCTGGGGTTACAGGTGCCCACCGCCATGCCTGGCTAATTTTTGTACTTTTGGTAGAGATGGGGTTTTACTGTGTTGGCCAGGCTGGTTTCGAACTCTTGGCCTCAGGTGATCTGCCTGCCTTGACCTCCCAAAGTGTTGGTATTACAGGTGTGAACCACCACGCCCCGCCTGAGATGACTGTTGATAGGACACGCTAATGAAGGTAAGAGAGGGAGAAGAAAAATAGATGACTTTATTTTGTGACCTGAGTAATGAGATAAAAGCCTGGGCTATTTCCTGAGATGGGAAAGACTGAAGATATGGCAGCATTTGGGGAGGATGTCAAAAGTTAGATGAGGACCAGGTGACGCTTTAACTCTATTAAATATCCAAGCAAAGGTGACTGCAAGGCATTTGGATATAAGGAGGTAAGGCACATTGAGTGTTGGCTAAAACAAGGCATACCTGTGACAATGGACCCAAACTCAGGCCAAAAAAATTGGGGTTAAGAGTAATACATTCAGTAATCAGATTAGTACAGTCAGACAAGAATTATTAATTTCTTGCCATGTCCAAAACACTGTCATAAGCCCCATGGGAGTAAATTAGGCAGTCCTAGAAATCAGCCTGGAGGAAGACACAGATGGAAACAATTCTGATACCAGGTATGCTAAGATATGTTTATAACAATAAAGCAAGCTCTATTGGTATGAGGGGACAGAAAGAGTGAGGTCTTTTGATTTGAAAATACCCCTTGAGGTAGGATTAGGGATAAACCTAAAGGATTGTGTAGACTAAAGGATAAGGCTTTTTAAACAAACAAATCACTTTAGCAACAGTGCACTTGAGGAGGTGCTTGTGGAAGGACAGGCAGGCTGATCGGGCAAGGATGTCGGGTGCAGAAGGTTTGCAGTGGCAGAGAGGGCAGGAGAGGCAGACCAGAGGTCTGATAAGGACTTTGGCTTTAATTCTGAAATAATGAGGAACCACCGAAGCCTTATCACTGGGGGATTTCCATGCTCAGGTTGTTGTTTTAGGAAATTGAAGAGAAAAGATGGACCACCATGAGGGAGACGCTACAAATACTGGCCTCATCTTTCCACCTGGATAGTTACCAGCAAACAGTGTGGTTCAGAAACTAATTCTAAATTCGTATGTGGTTCTTGAAGGCCCAGAAAGAGGAAAAATAGAAAATAGTAGAGGAGTTTCTGACTGAGTTATCATACAGCAAAGCCTAGGAGGTTGAGGGGATTGAAGGGAAGAAGTGGCCGACTCTGCCACGTTGGGGTTAGGGAAATAGGGAGTGTCACCAAAGAGGACACTGCAGTTATCTGAGTTAGGTGGTCTGGAGGGAGGACATTTTCCAGAGTCCAGGAGAACACAAGTCAAAGTCATAATCATCCATCTCTCCTATGTTGGGTTCATACCATTAGATAAAGTATGATAATATCACAACAATTTAGGTCAGAGGTTCAGAGGTTCTCTGAAATGAACCATTTCATAAAAAAAAAATAAAAAAAAAGGAATGTCCGGGCACGGTGGCTCACACCTGTAATCCCAGCACTTTGGGAGGCTGAGGTGGGTGGATCACGAGGTCAAGAGATCGAGACCATCCTGGCGATTGAAACCCTGTCTCTACCGAAAATACAAAAATTAGCTGGATGTGGTGGCGGGTGCCTGTAATCCCAGCTACTCAGGAGGCTGAGGTAGGAGAATTCCTTGAACCCAGGAGGCAGAGGTCACAGTGAGCTGAGACCACACCACTGCACTCCAGCTTGGCGACACAGTGAGACTACGTCTCAAAAAAAAAAGAAACATAATTTTCTAAGCATAATTTTCTCAATTTTTTAAGCTTATTGACAAAAATGTATTAGCCATAACACTCACTTATCTATGCAACAACTTTTTAGTTTTCTGTTCTCTTTTCTTTTTCTTTCTTTTATTATTTGAGCCCAAGCATTGAATACACAGTTACTTTTAGACACAAGTAGATTCAATTTTGTAGTGACAGCTGTGTTTCTAAATTGCCCGTCTTCGTTTCTCTTCAGATTCTTTATCTGTAAAATTAGCAAAGTGGCAATCTTCTGTTATGGCCCCGGTGGGGATTGAAGTGATTAGGTGACCACATACCTTGAAAACAGAAATTGTTTTGAGAACATTATAGCCTCAGGGCCTTACAGCTTTGGCCAAAATGGCCACAATAGGGTAATTTCCTTATTACTATTCTTTAATGAACCTAATTCTCTTAGGCAAGATTAGGGGAAAAAAAGAAGGGGGAGAAAAGTGAGAACAGGCAACAGGCTGCAGTGATTTCTTCTCTGGTTTAGTATTTACAAAAAGCCCATGGAGAAAACACCACCATAATGTAGAGAAGGGACAGATGCTCACAGAGTGTCAGATATGCCTGCAAGTCACACAGCTAGTTAGTGACACGAGGGCTGGGCGGGGTGGGGGACGGGGTGGAAAGGGGAGGAGGAAGGGGGAGTACGAAACCAATTCAAATCACAGTTAAAAACACCATCACTACATAGGCTTTCTAGGCCCAAGCCAGTCTATCATCAACATGAGGCATCCCTCAGATCCTTTTACAAAAATCGGTATTAGTTTACATATCTCTCTCAAATCTGAAGGTTGATATGATTTACCTTAAAATTCAGAGATCTAACAAGATTTCACCTATTGGGAGTTCCACAGTGACTTCTGAACATGCGAGCTGAAGGTAAATTATTCTTCTGGGTTCAGGCTGACTGTCTCGCTATCTCTTAAAATCTGTGTTGTTACGAACAAACAATCATCTAAGGCATTTATGAGTCGTGAGCTGTAATGTTGTTAAAACTGAATCACAGAGAAAGCATGGAAGACTCAGGCCCTGCGTGCAGCAGATGGGGTCTTAGGTACCCGAAGGGGCCTCGCCTGCCAAGGCTTAGTGTTTGTATATGAAAACATTCCTATGGTAACGGACCGAGTAAACACGAGAAAACAAACCGGCCAAATGTTATCGTTGAAGCTCTTCACTTCCAGAGGGAGGGTTTAGACTCCCTATTTCTCCACAACTTTTGATTACCAAAATGTGCATTCAGCTTTCTCGATTTTGTTTGGAAAGAAATGAATGAACAACAGCAGAAGCAACATCGGGGGAAACACTTGCCAGTGTCCTGAGCAATTCCTTTGGCTTGTTTATAACCAAATACAGCAGCGGGGCAGGAACACCATGACCTCTGCACGCTCAACCTCTCCAGGAATTCTTTTGGAGCCACTGTGACGCGGCACCAGCCTCACTGCACATCTTTGTTCTTTTTGGTGTTTTCTAAACTGAGTTCCTTTTTTTTTTTTAAAAAAAAAAATACCAACGTGTTCAAATTCTATGCATTGTTTTTATGAATGAGGGTTCTTGAAGGAAGCAAAGTTCTCGCAGGGTGATTCAAACGAGGAGCTCTTGGTGGAGACAACTCACAGACTTAACTCTCAGCAGAGTGAGGTGTCAGCACACCTGAAAACATAATTGTCATGTGCTGTCTGGGTCCAAAAGACCCTTTGTATTTGTACATTTTAAACATTTTAAAGTTTTTCTACAGGTAATTTACAGGTGTGAAAAGTAAACTTTTCATTAGAGAAAATGTTCCTGGTGGTCCTTAGAGATATATTTGTGGTGGGCAGACTTCTAAACAGCTGCCGATAACACCCGTCCCCTGATATTCACACCAGCCTTGGGTACCCTAGCCTCTGGAGAGGGGGCTGGACTTAGTGACTTTGTTCTCCCCAGCAGAACTCAGCAAAAGTGAGGGGTCTCATTTCAATTATTAGGTTACAAAACGTGATTGCCCAGGTAGCAGGCTCCACTGCCCTCCTGAGTTGGTGCTTCATGAAGCAAGCTGCCGTGGTGTAGAAAGCTTCCATGGAGAGGCAGGGACCTGAGGGCGGCCTCCAACCAACAGCCTGTGAGCAGCCACGTCTGGCCAACAGCCCTGTGGCTTGGAAGTGACCCCTTCCTGGCTGAGCTATGTGGTGACCACAGCCCAGCTGCTGCTGGCTGCAGCCTGTGGAAGGTTCCAGCCGAGCTGTGCCAGATCTCGGACCCAAAGAAGCTGAGATCATAAAGGTATGTTGTTCTAAGCCACTATGTCCTGGGATAGTTTGTTATACAGTGATGGATAATAATAATTTCAGTCTTATTGAGGCATGCTTCACACACAACAAAGTTCAACCATTTCATGTATATAATTTTTTTCAAAGTTATAGGTAGAATAATAAATGTTAAGAATCAACTCATAAAACACTTCCATCACCCCCCAAAATTTCCTCCTACTTCTTTCTTCAGCCCCTGGTAACTATCACTCAAGGATTCTTGGGCTGAAGAAAGTTAATCTAGAGTATCATCGTCTGAAAGTGTACCATCTGCGATTTCACTTACACATCCATTCTGACTTCACTGGCGTTTAGAGAACTCATCTCCGTCTCTTTGCCTCCATCTTCTGATTAATATGTGTGGATGGTTTTCCACTGTTAGTTTTCTGATTTGTCATTAATAAAAAATAGAAAATAAAAAGTTCTGATTTCTCAACGCTGATCAATGAGAACTACGACATTTCACAAAGATGCTGCTGCCAGTCTTTTTCCGAATCTTCTCGGAAGATTGTGCAATCGTTTGGAAACTGGAAGAAGAAAACTGGAAACTATTACTTGTTTGGCATTTGCATCACCTCGTAGGCCTTCCATATCGCCTCCATCTCCCATTATTTTAGTATTTTTTAGCATTATTGGGAATAATCGCTGAGTAAGGATGAGTGATAATGATATAATCCCTCAGATTAAAAAATAATGAAACATTTTAAGACAGGGGAAAAATAAGACCTCAAAGATTCCGTAATGTATCTTGATTTTATAACAGAACTCAATGAACTTATATGACAATTAGAAGATTAAATACATTTTGTTCTGTTATAAAAATGGTAATTTTTAAAACAGAATCCAATGGACTTATATGACAATGAAAAGATTAAATGTTTTATTGTGTTACAAAAATGGTATTTTTTTTTTTGAAACAGGGCCTCACTCTGTTGCCCAGGCTGGAGTGCAATGGCATGATCATGGCTCTTTGCAGTCTCGACCACTGGGCTTAAGTGATCCTTTCACCTCCACTTCTTGAGTAGCTGGGACCACTGGTGAGTGCCACCACGCCTGGCTCATTTTTAAAGTATTCGTAGAGACAGGGTTTCACTCTGTTGCTCAGGTGGGTCTTGAACTCCTGGGCTCAAACGATGTGCCTGCCTTGGCCTCCCAAAGTGCTAGGATCATAGTCATGAGCCCACCACACCTGGCCAAAAAAAAAAAAAAAAAAAAATGTATTCTTTTTCTTTGCCTTTTGGAAGACCTCTAAGAACAAATAAAAATCATGAGATGTCATTCAAACTACTTTAAAAATATCTCAATACACTAGACCTGGCTCCAGTGTCTCCTGCTGGTGGACGTGATAAAGACACAGTGAGACCCCAGAGACCAGCAAATGGGGAGCCACAGCACCCCAGGACCCAGGGCAACGTAAAGACATGCGTTAGTGAAGGAGCCCAGCCAGAAACAGCACCCTGAGAAAGGCCACCGGGTTCGAGGAACCCAGGAGGAACCCTGTTATCGCCATGAGGCGGTGCCCAAGCAGGGAGGGCACAGGGCAAGAAAACCTGAAGTCGCTCCTCCCTCCCAGACATCTCTACTGTCTTCACTAAGCCAAACTCGTTCAGCTGCCACCTTCCAGGGCCAAGCAGGCAGAGAACGGGGCTGGGCGGTGACGGTGGAGAATAACCTGCACGTGCTTCTGCCCGTTTCCTTTAAATGTCATGTAGCTCAGGCGTTTCCATTTTTAGCACACGTGGACACATGTCAGTCTTTTAAGCTCCTCGAAACAATGAACCATGGATGACCCACATCAGGGAAGAGCTCATGAAGGAGCTGATGTTCCCTCTGTGCCTGGAAGGATTTTAGCACATTTTGCTGCCTGTGAAGCAGAACTTGCACCCGAAAATGTAATGGACCAAATAAGGATAGAAGTTGAGACAAGGTGGGCTGTGTGGGCAGAGGTGGGCTGTCTAACTGGGCAGAGGAAGCAAGGCTTAAAGAGTGATGTGGGCTCAGTCACGCTGGCTCACGCCTGTAATCCCAGCACTTTGGGAGGCCGAGGCGGGCTGATCATTTGAAGTCAGGAGTTCGAGACCAGCCTGGACAACATGATGAAACCCCGTCTCTACAAAAAATACAAAAATCAGCCAGGCATGGTGGCATGCGCCTGCAGTCCCAGCTACTTGGAAGGCTGACGCAGCTGAATTGCTTGTAGTCACAGCTACTGAGGAGGGAGGCAGAGGCTGCAGTGAGCAGAGATCGTGCCATTGCACTCCAGCAGAGTGAGACTCCATCTCAAGAAAAAAGAAGGCCGGGTGCAGTGGCTAACGCCTGTAATCCCAGCACTTTGTGAGGCCAAGGCAGGTGGATCACGAGGTCAGGAGATCGAGACCATCCTGGCTAACATGGTGAAACCCCGTCTCTACTGAAAATACAAAAAATTAGCCAGGCATAGTGGCGGGTCGGTAGTCCCAGCTACTCAAGAGGCTGAGGCAGGAGAAAGGCGTGAACCTGGGAGGCGGAGCTTGCAGTGAGCCGAGATCATGCCACTGCACTCCAGCCTGGGGGACAGAGCAAGACTCCATCTCAAAAAAAAAAAAAAAAAGTGACGTGGTGTGGCCTAGGCTGCGGAAAACATGGTCTGCCTCTTCCAAACTCTTCACTTTTTATCAGGAGAAAGGCTCATTAGCACGAGCTTCCTTTAATGGCTAGCACAAAATAGGTGTTTAATAAATGACCTTGTTGATGAAGAGGATTAATGAACCAAATCCGCATTGTTTTGCTTAATTAGGTATATTTATTTAGGCATGTATTATTAGCAAAACATTTTGGAGATCTGAGGAAATGATCTGGACAATTTTAAGACAGAAATCCTGATATTTAGCTAGCAGTTATTTTAGGTGTAAATAATCAATGATGTTAAGTAGATTCAATTAAATAATTGTTCAAATGTATTTTGCTTCCTTAGACAAAGGGTAGACATAAACTATACCACGTGGCATAGTCTTTTTTGTTCAAAAAGGTAGTCAGTCTGTCTTTGAAAGATCAACTTGACCTAAAATTGTAATTCAGTGTATCTTCATATAAAATTATTAAATTTTTATCTGCAGAATTATTTTCAACAGCATTGATTGCAATAGTTTTGCGATTATGCTTTCCTTTAGATCATAAGCCAATGACTTCTTCCGTCTTACTTTATGCATAATAGAATTGTTATAAGAGAATTAAACCTGAGAGTACTTCCATTATTGGAAGAATTTCTCCTGTCAGCTTTTTGTCAACTGCTTATAAAACTGTAGAAGAAAAATTATTCTTCAATATACGGTTTTCATTATGCATTAGATGCCTTTAATATTCCTAAGTGCCATAATTTCACATATGCCGTGTGTCACCTGGTGTATGTAAACATGAAATTACTTGGAGATTATTGCATAGTTATATCAAAATGCTGAGCAGAAAAAAAAATGACATCCAATATTCACCCAGGGTTTAGACAATACATTTTTGTTTGATGTGAAAGCATTCATAATTTCATCACAGAAGAGCATTTTTCAATGGTGCTCCCAGATTGCCTGTAAAAGATAATTCCTCCCTTGTGGACAGGCTTCTATCTCATGCCCTCCGCGTGCCGCTGGTTTATCTGTGCAGAGAGGGACACCCAAAGGGGGACAGTGAGCCCACTGTGTCTTTTAGAACCCAAAGCGAGTTACTGCAAACCTCAGGCAATTGAAGTGAATATTGGCTAGCTCAAAAGGCTGTGAAGATGACCACCGTATCTATCTGAGTAATTTTTTTCTTCTGTCTCAGTCTTGAAATCAGGCATGGTTATTTTTATTTTCGGTGTATGCAGGCTTAACCTATGTGCTTATATTCACAATGAACTCTTGAATCGGATCCTCTGTGTTTTGCTGGGGAGTATTCATTCCCCACTTGACCTGCTTTGTTGCTCAAAACTTTGTAGCTCATCTTTGCCTTCCCGTCTGTTTATTCTTGGTGTGGGGTTGTCAAGGAGAAATGTTGGAAGGGAGAGAAGGGAGCAGGCATCATAGATGGTATTACAGGCGGCTGGTCTCTCCTCTCTCAGCCAACTATGAGAACTATTTGGGATTGAAGGAGATAAGCTACAGCAAGTCGTTACTTGTCCTGAATGCACGACCTTCTTTCTTTGAGCAAGAGGACAAACCTGGGTAGGGATCTCTATGATGTTTTCTGCGTTGCCCGTGGACGTTCATCTTTCTGATTTGTTAGCTGAAGATGAGGATCTGGAGCAGGAGCTCGGAGTGCCATTGTTCCATGGGCAGATGTGCAGCAGAGATTGTGAGTGGGGTCTGTTGGGGCGGTCAGGGGGCCCTCCTGAGCTGGCCTCTCTCGCCTGCGACTTCACAATGCTTGTTCTGAGTTCAGCGTTTTCACTGGAGAGAGCTACAGCTGGGAAGTGCTGTTTTTTTCTAGGTGCTCTCAGCTGCTATTACCTCTTCTATCTCTTCCTCTGGAAAAATATTAGGGGCCTTTTTGTCTTAACAGAAGAAGAAGTAGATTCATTCATTCTTTTTTTTCTTTTTCTTTTTCTTTTTTTTCAGACAGTCTCGCTCTGTTGCCCAGGCTGAAGTGCAGTGGCACGATCTTGGCTCACTGCAACCTCCACCTCCCTCCCGGGTTCAAGCGATTCTCCTGCTTCAGAATCCTGAGTAGCTGGGATTACAGGCTGTGCCATCATGTCTGGCTAATTTTTGTATTCTTAGTAGAGACGGGCTTCACCATGTTGGCCAGGCTGGTCTCCAACTCCTGACCTCAGGTGGCCCACCAGCCTCGGTCTCCCAAAGTGCTGGGATTACAGGCGTGAGCCACCGCACCCGGCCAATATTCATTCATTCTTTCTCACCTCTTCCTCCGCTCTTTAAGGTTGAGCTTGCCTGGCCCAAGGCACAGAGTTCTGGGAAGGATGGAAGAGAGGGGAAGGGAGAGCACCAACATCACGGACCGCCTTTCACATCAGCGGCAGCAGCAGTAAAACCCCCAGAAAACCTGGGGTAGGCGTGGGGGTCTGTTTAGATCAGCCCTGGAGGCAGCCTCCCATGTCCCTCCTGGACATTTGTTCACCTTCACAGAACCCACTTCTTTCCCATCGTCTGTTCGGATATCTGTTTCCTGCACCGGGCAGGTAGCACAGCACACTCAGGGGTTTCTCTGACTCACCTTGGCAGCCCCAGCCCTCAGCACACTGCCTACCACTTAGTATTTAGAGAACCTATGCCCTTTGAAAAAAGTAGGTAAATAGTAAAATATTATTTTTACCATTGGAACAAACACAATTATATGCTTGATGAAATTCAAACAGTACAAATGCAAGAAAAAAAAGGCTTGTTAGGTACAAATATTGGAAGAAAAGAGCTTGGGGCCAGAAGTGACCCCAGACAGATGGGCTGGGAAAGAAGGGCTTTACAGGGACCTCAGTGGCACACAGGGCCTAGACCCAGAGATGGGGCCTTCTTGACAGGACACCTCTGTCCAAGGGCATGGGTTGCGCTCATGTCTCTGTAACATATTTCAAAAAGGATGCAAAGAAACCCAACTTTTCCGGAGAAAGTGGCAAAAATAATGAAGAGTGGTTGACCAGAAGGCTTAGGGCCCTGGGACTGTGTTGCTAGAGAGTAAGAACCACCTGTCCTTGAGCAAACCAAACTGGCTTTGATCTTCTGCCCTTCTCTGTAGAGGACTGAGCAGGAGGAAATAAGAATTACATGAAGAGCTTCCTAGGGAGCTTCCGGAAGAAAATCTTAGTCCCCTGCCCTGGACACTTTCGCCAGTCAAGGGCAGAAGGTGGCTAAACAATAGGACGGTTGAGTATCCCTTATTCATAGTGCTTAGGACCAGAAGAGTTTTGGATCATGAATTTTTTTGGAGCATTTCAGATTTTCACAGCCGCAGGTAGGGGGACAGGTTGATGAAAGCCCCGCTGTGTCCCGTGATTTGTGACAGATATCTGTTTTCTTCCTCATTCCAATGCATCATCTTGGATTTTGGAATATTTGCATTATACTTATCAGTTGAGCATCACAAATTCAAAAATCCAAAATCTGAAATGCTCCAAATAAGAATTTCCTTTCAGCCTCATGTCGGCATTCAAAAAATTTCAAATTTTGGAGCATTTTGGATGTCAGATTTTCAGACTTGAGGTGCTCAGCCTGTACAGGTTATTCAGGCTCCTGAATTCTGTGATTGCTTTTTTTTTTTTTCTAGAGCAAAGTTCCATAAAGAGCAGATGGAGAGGTGTTGATTAGCAATCAATTAATTAGTTGATATTTATTGGACCCTTAACTCTGTGTCAGGTATGGCTCTAAGGGCTTGTAAAAGCATCAAATCAATTTATCCAGGCCTCATACTGCCCACTCCAGCATGTACTATTATATTATTAGCCCATTTTATAGATGAGGAACCTGAGGAATAGCAGTGTTGAATCACTTGCCCGACGTTGTATTTCTTGAGTATGATTGTAGGTATTAGACGGGGTTCTGAAACAGGGCAAGGATGCAATTGAAATAAAGAAGGAAACAGATACCTGTCACAAGTCACTGGATACAGCTGAGCTTCTATCAACACAACTCAAGTGTGTGCATCTGGTACCTGTCAAGTTAGAGAAATTGGTTGTTGTACAACATGACCTCATAATCAAAATATTGTATCAGAGTGCCTGCTGGTAGCAGATATCCAAACTTCTCTTGTCTCTTGTTCAAGATCAATTGTCTCCTAGCTCATTTGATTCAGTTTGGAGATCATTTGGTTCCATGGACAACCTCTATTGGTGTTATATCTGGGGAAGTGCTTGCCTTGGTCCTGGACTTGATACCACTAAAGCTGATAATGAGAACAGAGTAGGGTTCTATTAGGTGAGAGCAAGGGTTCAGATGGGAGCATGTTAGGAAGCCCCCCATCTCTTCCAGCACTTGCCTCATCCAGCCTTAGCTGGAGCTGCAGATGCACCTGCTGGTGACACTCAAGCACCACCCGGTGTGGCCTGCAAGGCCCTGTCAGGGTGGGCTCTCCTTCCTGTCTTGCCAGCATCGTCACACAGCTATGCCCTGTGTTCATCTGGCAGTGGCATGCTAGCTGCATTTCCAGGCTCAGCTATGTCTCCTCCTGCCTCAGAGCCTCTGCATGCATGTGCTCCTGCCGGGAATTTTCTTGCCCCGGTTCTTCCTGTGGCTGGCTCCCTGCCATCCTCCTCCCTGCCATCCTCTGCTCTATTCAAGTGTCACCTTCTTAGACGTGCCTTTCCTTATAGCCCCCGAGTGATGGCCTCTCCTCCCCAAGTCACACTCTACACTTGCTTTATTTTCTTCTTACCTTGTATTGAAATTTGAAATTGTCAAGTTCACTGATTTACTTGTTTATGATTTGTCACCTTTCACTAAAATGTAGGCTCCATGAAGGCAGAGCCCTACCTCTCCTATTTACTGGTCTATGCTCAAGTCCAGGAATAGTATTTTCTCAATAAATATTTAATGAATTGACAGATGAACTGGTGATGAAGGTTCTAGTTAAAAAACAAAAAAGAAAAGTGGTATTTTGGTAAAAAAAACAAAACAAAATGAAACAAAATAACACAAACAACTCTGATTTGTAGTGTTGGCCAATTTCCATGGTGTAAATATTCTTATCATAGTCATTAGTAGCTTCAAATTTACACCACAGAAATCAGACAATACTACAGCATGCAGTTATTTTCTGTTTGTATTAACAGTTGGGGCCTATTAAACTAGCAGATTTAGGCAAAATGGTGATGTGAGTTTATCCAGGCTGGTGGGGATTTAGAAGTTAAAGATCAATAGCCAGATATGGTGGCACATGCTTGTCATCCCAGCTACTTGGGACGCTGAGGCACGAGAATCGCTTGAGCCTGGGAGGTAGAGGTTGCAGTGAGCTGAGATGGTGCCACTGCACTCCAGCCTGGGTGACAGAGCAAGACTCCATTCCAAAAAATAAATAAAATAAAATAAAACAAACTTAAAGATCAAGAATTGTCAAGAAAAACCAATGTAAAGCATTTCCTGTCATGCTTTCTGTAAGCATTTCATGTAGATGATGTCTTCCAATCTCCCAGGACTCTAGGAGTGAGATATTCTCATTCTCATTTTATAGGTGAGTTACTGAGATTCAGAGAGGCTAGTAACATGCACGTGTTCACATGGTTGGTTAGGAATGATACTGGGATCTCTTTGGAAGCCTTGATACTGGTCCAGTTGATGAAATACTCCCTGGTCTGCCCATATTTATAAAATTTTTATGAGACCTAGATGCTACAGGAGGCCTCCCTCCAACTCCCAGGTAAAGCTATGTGATTTGATTCCATGCTCCAGTTCCAGGGTCCATGAAATTTCTGCTGAGAGGCACAGTTCATCCTGTTAGGCCATGGAGTGTGGTGGGATGGTGGGCAGGTTTGCAAGTGCTGGGGTTATACTGTCTAGGTTTCGAGGCTGATTTCTGACTTACAAGCTGAGTGGTGTTAGGTGAGATTCTCAATGGCTTGGCAGCCTCAGTTTTCTCATTAGTTATATTAAGATAACATTGGCTTCTCCCTCTTAGGATTGGTGTGAGAATGACAGACGTGATTGCATATAAAGTGAATAGCAGTGCCTTTCCTAGACTAACTGCTCAATACATCTAAGCTACTATTTTATTAGAGAATACGCTTTATAGCTTTATTGTGTTCTTGGGCTTTCATCCTAACTGTATGCTTTCTTCAAAATAAAAAAGTTGCCAAATAATTTTTTTTTCATTTTTTTGTATTGCGTCAATGAACCTCAAGTGAAACCTCTTTTCTTTCCATATAAACCAAGACTGATCTCAGAGACAAGCACCACTGTGGTATATATGTCAGTATCCAAAAGGATTTAGACCATTTGGAAACTCTTTGGAAAGCCCTGTTGGAAATACGAAGATGTTGTGGGGCTGTCACTTTAACCCCCGATTCTCAAGAGAATCTTGCGAAGAGTGTCTCTTCTATGGATTTGCAGGGGGTAGGACCATTGCATGGTCTGCATATCTGTTTTTTCCTACATTTCAAAACACAAGGTGCTCTTGTTGTCTCTGTCCTACCAGTGAGGAAGCAGAGGCTTGGTGAAGAGAAAGTAACTTGCTCAAAATCTCATGGCTGCACAGTAAGGGAATTGCTGTGACATGAGACCACGTGCAACCCATGCTTAGACCCAAGGCCCACAGTGCAGAGCCTCTCTGTTAGGTAAATGCTTGCTAGGTGCTTAAAAGGCTGAGTGATTTGTATGTTTGCCAGATCTCTCTTTTGGTCTCATGAACCAATCCCAGAAATATGCATTACTCTCTAGTGATATTTTTTTGTTGTTTTTAGTGGGTAAAGGACTTTAAAAATAATAATAATAATAATAATAATAATAATAATAAACTTTAGGCCAGGCATGGAGAGTCACACTTGTAATCCCAGCACTTTGGGAAGCCGAAGTGGGTGGATAACCTGAGGTCAGGAGTTCGAGACCAGCCTGGTCAACATGGTGAAACCCCATCTCTACTAAAAATATAAAAATTAGCCGGGCGTGGTGACAGGCACCTGTAATCCCAGCTACTCAGGAGGCTGAGGCAGGAGAATCGCTTGAACTCGGGAGGCAGAAGTTGCAGTGAGCCAAGATCGCACCATTGCACTCCAGCCTGGGGAACAAGAGTGAGACTTCGTGTGAAAACAACAACAACAACTAAAACTTTATTGTGTATATCTGAGTTTACAACACAACATTATGGGATACATATAAGTAGTAAAATAGTTACAATAGTGAAGCAGATTAACACATCTATCATCTCACATAGTTACTTTTTCTGTGTGATAAGAGCAGCTAAAATCTACTTAACAAAAACTAACACAATCTAATCTTTTTAGCTTTGGTCTTCATGTTGTACATTAGATATCTAGACTCCTTGTTCATCCTACATACCTGCTATTTTGTATTCTTTGGCCTATATTTCACCACTTCCTCTCCCAACCCCACCCAGCCACTGGTCATCTCAATTTTACTCTCTATCTCTCTGTGTTTTTTTCCCTTATATTCCATATATAAGTGAGATTATGTAACATTTTTCTTTCCGTGTTTGGCTTACTTCACTTAGCACAATGTCCTTTAGGTCCATTCATGTTGTGGCAAATGACAGCATATCCTTATTTTTTAAGAGTGAATAATATTCCATTACATATATATTTATACCACATTTTCTTTATCCATTTGTCCCTTGATGGACACTTTGGTGGATTTCATATCTTGGCCATTGTGAATAATGCTGTAATGAACAAGGGAGTGTAGATGTCTTTATGAAGTGATGAGTTCATCTGCTTTGGGTATATTCCCAGAAGAGGAACTGCTGTTCATATGTTAGTTTTATTCTTAAGTTTTTTAGGCACCTCCACACTGTTTTCAATAGTGGTTGTACCAATCTGCATACACACCAAAAGCGTAATAGGGTTCTCTTTTCTCCACACCCTTGACAACATTTGTTATCGCTTGTCTTTTTCATAATAGCCATCTCATAGTGGTTTTAATTTGCATTTCCTTGATGATTAGTGATGTTTTGCACCCTTTCACATACCTGTTGGCCATTCTTAAGTCTTTTCTGAAGAAACGTTGATTCAGCTCCCTTGCCTGTTTCTAAATTGGGTTATTTGTTTTTCTGCTATTGAATTATAAGAATTCTTTATAAATTTTGGATATTGATTCTTTGTCAAATATATAATTTGCAATTTTTTTTTTCAGTGTGTAGGTTGTCCTTTCATTTTGATGAATGCTTTCTTTGCTGTGCAGAAGCTTTTCAGTTTAATGTGGTCCCATTTATTTATTTTTGCTTTTGTAGCCTGAGCTTTTATGTGATATTTAAAAATCATTTCCAGGGCCAATGTCAAGAAGTTTTCCCTATGTTATTTTCTGAAAGTTTTATGATTTCCAGTCATATATTTAGCTATTTTATCGTTTTGAATTTATTTTCAGTATGGTGTAAGATAAGGGTCCAATTTCATTCTTTTGCATTTAGAGATTCAGTTTTTCCAGGACCTTTTATTGAAGACACCATATTTTCCCCATTGTGTTTTTTTGGCTCCCTTGCCAAAAATTAGTTGACCACATATATTTAGGTTTAGTTCTGGGCTCTCTCCTTTGTTTCACTCGGCTATGTGTCTGCTTTTATGTCAGTGTCATACTGTTTTGATTACTATTGCTTTGTAACATAATTTCTTTTATTTTTTTGAGACAGGATCTTGCTCTGTCACCCGGGCTGGAGTGCAGCGGTGCACTGCAACCTCCACTTCCCGGGCTCAAGCACTTAAGCAGTCTTCCACCTCAGCCTCCGAAGAGTAGCTGGGACCACAGGCACATACCACACCTAGCTAATTTTTGTGGTTTTTTGGTAGAGATGGCATTTCACCATGTTTCCCAGGCTGGTCTCAAACCCCTGGACTCAAGCAATCTGTCTGCCTTGGCCTCCTAAAGTGCTGGGCTTAAAGGCATTAGCCACAGCACCCAGCCTTGTAACAGAATTTTAAATCAGGAATTGTGATGACTCCAACTTTGTTGTTTAGTGATACTTTGTTAAGAAGATATATTGCTTTGTTTTCTTTATTTGCCAAGTTTTAAACACCAAAATTAAACTGCAATAATACATTTTTGAGAATTTGAGGAAAATTTGTTTTATTTTCATACGTGATGGTCTTTGGAAAAGGACCAACTCAATGCCTAGCTTCAAATTTGAAGAAGATAAGCAGGATGCTTGGTGAACTATAAAAAAGTGCTTGGATCCAGCTGAGTTACAAGCATGTCTGTCTTCTAAATAGCTTTGGTTAGCTCACAGAGGTGTAAACTCAGTCCTAACAATGGGTGTTGGTTGCCCCTTTGAAATAGCACCATTTCTCCTGACCTCTGCACATTTGGCTTCATCTTCAAGGACAGAAAATCCTGGAAATCCCAGCGTTGTCTGGCTTCCTTTCTCACTAACCTCTCCAGGCTTTTCAGAAATCCCTCTGCATCGTTCTAAACAGGAAGTTTTGGTAGGCAGTTTTACAAATGGCCCTGTATTATGCAGGATGTCACCTATTGTTATTGGAACAAAGATATTCTGAAATATGGACAAAGGCTTCCAATCTGCCGGGGTCCTGGACCCTTCAGTAGCCTCTCATTGTATCTGGGAAGTGATTGAGTGAATTGGGTCACTCCAAGAATATACCTAAGCTTCAGAAACTCTGCTATTATTAGGATGCCAAAGTGGAGCTACACACAGCACATGCAGTTCACATTTATAGTACTTCTGTTTCCCAATTTGCTCTGTCTAAATACAACACAGTCACTTTCCAAATAAATGGGGTTACCTACATCTGTATACATAAATGAAAAAAAATGACTGGGGATGATCCATATCTCTGTTCTACTGTTAAAGTATTAGGAAAAAAACAAAACATTTATGAATCAAAAGTGCTACTAAAGTTTCTCTTTTGAAAGACTATGCATAAATCATGCACTTCTCAAACTTTTAAGACCTACATCTGCAAGAGCATATATATATAATATTATGTTAAAAAGAAATACTTTCTTATAATAGACTAACTGGCATAGTCAGAAGCTGATTGAGGGGTTTAATTTAGCTGCAAATTTCACTGATGGCTTCTCATTACCAAGTGCAGGAATTTCAGAGTGCAGAATATAGAACAATACACTCTGTTTATAAAGTAAAGCTTACACCCACCAGAAACAGAATTGCATTTAGCAGTATTTTACTTTATCTTAAAAGTAAAATTACTAAAATTGTTTTCCAAATGTTATTTGAGATTATGGATGAAAGAAAACGTGGTCATCGTAAGTTCTCTCCTCTTGTTTCTCAGTGCTGCAGTCCACTGTACACATCAACTATTTAAGAATTTCAGAGTGCAGAATATAGAACAATATACTCTGTTTATAAAGTAAAGCTTACACCCACTGAAACAGAATGGCATTTAGCAGTATTTTGCTTTATCTTAAAAGTAAAATTACTAAAATCGTTTTCCAAATGTTATTTGAGATGATGGCTAGAAGAAAATGTGGTCACTTAAGTTCTCTTCCTCTTGTTTCTCAGTGCTGAGTCCACTGTACACGTCAACTATTTCACACACACCCATTTTTCTCCCTCAATCCACCTTTCCCCTTTGACATTTGGATCATAGCTATCGTAATGTGTGCTGAATTATTTGTTGGGATCATTGGATTATGCCTTGCTGGACAAAATAATTCAAGTTAATTCATAGAGGCAATCTACTTTCAGTATTTATTTATTTAGAGAAAGAGTCTTTCTCTGTCACCTAGGCTGGAGTGCAGTGGTACAATCTCAACTCACTGCAACCTCTGCCTCCCGGGTTCAAACGATTCTCCTGCCTCAGCCTCCCGACTAGCTGGGACTATAGGCACCCACCACCACATCTGGCTAATTTTTGTATTTTTAGTCGAGACGGGGTTTCGCTATGTTGGTCAGTCTGGTCTCGAACTCCTGACCTCAGGTGATCCACCCGCCTTGGCCTCCCAAAGTGCTGGGATTACAGGGGTGAGCCATTGCTTCTGGACTCTTTTTAATTTTATTTTTAAATAGCAGTGACAAATATTTACTCCCTCTTTCTTTTCCTCTCACCTAGTAAGATCTTTTTCTCCATCACGTAACACACGCCCTGTGCTTTGGTGCCTGCACATCCCCATTTCTTTGGCTGCCTTAGGAGACGTGTTCCATCCTCGTCCATTAACCCCTCCCTACCGAAAGGATGTTTCCCAGCAGCCTCCACTTTGATATGATATTCTGGTGTTGCTCTAGACAAGGATACACTTGGGATAGGTTAGAAACATTCCTTTCTGGCTGGGCACAGTGGCTAATGCCTGTAATCCCAGAACTTTGGGAGGCTTAGGTGGGCGGATCACCTGAGGTCGGGAGTTTGAGACCAGCCTTGCCTACATGGCGAAACCCTGTCTCTACTGAAAATACAAAAATTAGCTGGACGTGGTGGTGTGTGCTTGTTGTCCCAGCTACTCGGGAGGCTGAGGCTGAGACAGGCTGAGGCACTTGAACCTGGGCGGTGGAGGTTGCAGTGAGCCAAGATTACGCCATTGCACTCCAACCTGGGAGACCAGAGTGAAACTCCATCTCAAAAAAGAAAAGGAAAGAAAAGAAAAGAGAAGAAAAGAAAATGTTCCTTTTTCTGAATAACCTCCTCCCTCTCTGTATGTAGATGAACCCCCGTCTTGAATTAGGCACCTCATATTCTCTAAGTCATAGGGTCTGTGTGGATTCATGCCATCTAGAACTGATGGCTGATATGGCGATTTCATCTTGTTAGTACACAGCTCTCACCTGCTATTTTTGCTTAAAGAGAAAACTACCCAGCGTTATCAGCCTGAGTACAAAAAAAATTAAAGTGCTATAAAAATACACATTGACTACTTGACAAATCCACGTGTTTCTGGTGTTATTTCAGTTGCATTGCATAAGGATTTAATTAGAAGACCCTTACAAGAACTAAAAGTTATTTCAAAAATAAGGTATTAATTTTCTGTCATGAAATTAAGAACTGATGGATAAATGGATAAGAGGCAGTTTGCATGATTGATAGTGACCCTTTGTGAATATAGCCTGCAGTTTTTGTTTTTATATGATTTCTAAAACATGCTATTTCAAAAAATTGTGGAGCAGTAGTCAGGAATCTTAGAATGATAAGTAGCAGAAATACAGCTTTTTTTTTTTTTTTTTTTGAGATGGAGTCCATTGCCCAGGCTGGAGTGTAGTGGCACGATCTCGGCTCACTGCGACCTCCACCTCCCGGGTTCAAGTGATTCTCCTGCCTCAGCCTTCTGAGTAGCTGAGACTACAGGTACTCACAACCATGCCTGGCTAATATTTTTTTGGGGGTATTTTTCTTTTAAGAGAGATGGGGTTTTGTCACATCGGCCAGACTGGTCTCAAGCTCCTGACCTCAAGTGTTCCTCCCACCTTGGCCTCCCAAAGTGCTGGGATTACAGGCGTGAGCCACCACACCCGGTCATCATGTTAGAATAAACCAAAGGGGCTCAGGTAAGGTAGCAGTCCCAGGAGTGGGCTGTCCTTAGGTACTGCCAAACCCAGGAGCTCAATAATATTACTGGAATTCTGTTTTTCAGTGTGTGTCTTGCAATTCTGCTTCACATAATGCTGGCTTCATCTTCAGACATGCTTTCTCTGCGTAGTAGAAAAGGCAGCCCCTGCAAAGTTCCTGGATCTCAAGAAAAGATGATTTCCTGCTTTCTTACCAATCCTCACCCATTTTAGGGCATTTATCTGTCCAGGCTGGGTCACTGGCTGACCTGTGGGTATGGAAGTGCACCTGCCGAGGTGAAGCACTAGTGCTTGGCTGCTGGAATAACAGGCTGATATCTAAGGCTGAGGAATGGTGCCCCTTGCACCGTAAGGAAGAGGGAACCAGCCATGTCCCACAGCTGGTTGTTGTTTGTAACAATCGTGGAAACTCAGTGTTCATCTCAGTTCTGCTGTGTGTTTGTGGGAGTCTTGGAATGATTATTCTGAACTATTTCACGGCATAGACTTGGGATGTCCAGACCTTGGCTGCCCTGCCCTGCACACTTCTATGTATTTATTAAGTATTTTCCAAGGAGTACTGCCATGTTGTGATCTTTTAGTCTTATCTAAGGCAGAAAGCAAGAAGCTGAGAGGGTGGGCTTGGATGCAGAACCCCCAACTTGATCATTTTCTGTGGGTTCTTGAGGGATGCATGGAGAGAGGCCACTCCAGAAATGGTTTCTTTTTATTTATTTATTTATTTTTTCTGCAATCTCTGCCTCCGGGTTTAAGTGATCCTCCTGCCTCAGCCTCCTGAGTAGTTGGGATTACAGGTGCATGCCACCATGCTCAGTTAATTTTTTTGTTCTTTTAGTAGAGATAGGATTTCACCATGTTGGCCAGGCTGGTCTCAAACCCCTGACCTCAGACAACCTGCCCACCTCAGCCTCTCAAAGTGTTGGAATTATAGGTTTGAGCCACCATGCCCAGCTGGTTTCTTTCTTTCTTTTTTTCTTTATTTTGAGACGGAGTCTTGCTCTTGTCACCCAAGCTGGATTGCACCGGTGCCATCTTGGCTCACTGCAAACTCTGCCTCCCGGGTTCAAGTTATTCTCCTGTCTCAGCCTCCTGAGTAGCTGGGATTACAGGCGCTCACCACCATGCCTGGCTAATTTTTGTACTTTTAGTAGAGATGGGGTTTCATCTGTTGAGAGCTTTGGGCTCAAACCCAAATGTGCTCCCTTGATGAGCTGGGTGGGGCTTGTGTCAACATTTCCAACCCTTTCTTCCTACCTGCCTGGCACCTCATTCCAAAACCCCTATTTTATTCTTGGTCTTTCAGGTATTAATGACCTCACATTGATAAGAATTCCTCAAGGAAGGAAAGGGAAGGGCACTGCTGAAATGGCTTGTTCTTCCCCCCAGCCCAAGCTTCTGTCTCTAATATCATGGAATCGCCAAATACGGTCTCCACATAGTTGTTCTTGACTATCCCATGTCAGAGTAGAGCGGGATGACTCAATTTTGTCTAGAGTTTAGGCTGAGCCACTAATAGAATCCAACACAGGCAAGGCAAAGGATGTGGTAATTAACATGGAGTGTGGTGACCACAGAAAGAATTGATGGAAGCATGTGAGGAAATGTGTCAACCGGAAAAGCAGCAGCTCAGCTCCTGGGGCCCAGTGTGGACTTGCCTTCAGGAGGTGATGATGTCGCTTTTGACCTGTGGGTCAGAGTAAAAATTGTGTAAAATCAGTTCCCAGTGTACAAACTGATGGATGTTAAAGGTTAATTTGTAAATAACTTTATATTTCTATGGGGAAAAAGCTTCCTAAGTTCCATGTAGGTTCTTGGGCCACTGTTTATGATAGAATTATAATACCAGATACTCAAAATGTCAAATGTCAGACAAAAATATTATGAATATACAGAATATACAGTATTTTCTTCTTCTTCTTCTTTTTTTTTTTTTTTGGATACAGAGTCTTGCTCTGTCATCCAGGTTGGAGTGCAGTGGCATGATCTCAGTTCACTGCAACCTCCACCTCTCGGGTTTAAGTGATCCTCCTGCCTCAGCCTCCTGAGTAGCTGGGATTACAAGTGTGTGCCACCACACCTGGACAGTTTTGTATTTTTATTGGAGACGGAGTTTCACCATGTTGACCAGGCTGGTCTCAAACTCCTGACCTCAACTGATCCACCCGCCTTGGCCTCACAAGGTGCTGGGATTACAGACGTCAGCCACTGCACCCAGCATGTAAAGTATTTTCTCTAACATATAATTTAAATACCAAATAAAGGCATGCTATGTGTTTCATTTAATGTCCAATTAAATGGAGTCAAATCTCACCCTCATGTCAAATTATCCTTCAGCCTATGTGCTGGGACAAAAGTTTTCATGACTGTAATCACCACAAGGCCTTCCTGTGTTGTACATGCAGATGGCCACAGCCTCACAGTCTAGTAGAAAAGTCTACCCGAAGCCTCTGAGAGGCCCAACATAATCAGGGACCACAGGAAACAGTAGAGCAATAGCAATGAAAAGGGGACGGAGTGCTGTGGGGTTCAGCCAGTGAAATGTGAAGAAACTCCAGGTCCTAGAATGTGGAATCCAGGAGAGCCACAGGCTTGCAGTCAGAGTTCGAGGGCCAGGCCGACTAAGAACTGGAGAGGCTGGGATTCACCGGGAGGCATGGGATGGAAGGGGTTGTCACCACACAGGAGCCAGGAACCCAGAGACAGGCAGCTGCAATGCAGAAAGAGGAAAAGACATCTTTTGAGGAAGCAAGCAAAAAATAATTCTGAATTAGTTTATACTGGTCCAGAGGTTTGTTTTAGTGCCAGCAATGGAGATATCAGTAAAAACTGAATCCTAATTATAATAATATTTTTAATGGAATAAATGCATTTTATCAACTTGAATTACTTATCTCCTTATTTTATATTATTATATATTACAAATATATGATTTTTATATATCTTTTTTTTTTTGAGACAGAGTCTCACTCTGTTGCCCAGGCTGGAGTGCACTGACCTGGTCTCCACTCACTGAAACCTCCACCTCACGGGTTCAAGTGATTCTCCTGCCTGAGCCTCCCGAGTAGCTGGGACTACAGGTGCAATGCCACCATGCCTGGCTAATTTTTTTTTTTTTTTTGTATTTTTAGTAGAGACAGGGTTTCACCATATTAGCCAGGATGGTCTCGATCTCCTGACCTTGTGATCTGCCCGCCTTGGCCATATATATCTTATTATATATGTATATATACTCTCCAGTCTGAGTTCTTCTCCTTCCTTTATAATTCTTACGTACGTGGTGTACATTGCAGAGAGCTTCATGAATGAAAACCATCTGAAATGTGTCACGGAATAATTATAAATATGGATACATGGAGAGGAATGTGGTAGAGCAAGACACTTTGAATCATCCACAATTCCCTCCACAACTGTCTTTTTTCCCAAGCTCTTTCAAATCTCAGATCATACCACTAAGAGGCTGTTACTGTTGGTGTTGTTCTTTGTGGTAGACAAAGAGGCATTGGCCACCTGCTGTTCTGTGCACTTTGCATGAATTCTGTAATTTTAAAGCGATCATAACGAGGAGGTGGATATGACCCCTGCTGTTAGGAGAGGAGGCATTGGGGCTGTTTTACATCACTCCTTTTATCCCAAAACTTTGTGGTTTTGGTAACGAGATAGGATGGCTTACCTTCCTTTTAACAAAGAAGATCTCCAGAATTAATATGTCTGAGGCACCATTGGCACATTTAGGTGGAAAGAGATTTGAAATAGTAATGCATTGCCAAAATTGCCTGAAACATCACATCATCTTTTTCAAAGAAATAACAGTTTCCCAAAACCGTTACCCTCCCAAACTCGCCCCCCTCCCATTGCAGCATATTCTAAATTATTCCCACGGGTGGGCCTTCGTTTTGAGAATGGACGTGATGCAATGTGCTACATTCTTGGAATTGGCAGCGGAAGAAAATTCTCAGAGTTTTCAGTGCTGGGAGCATAGATAAGGTGGCCAGTAGGCAGGGATTTCCCAACACGATTCATTCCTCACGAAAACCCTGAGTGCATGTCAACAAGCTCTTTTTCTAGATGTGGGCATCTCCGTCTTTGCTTTTTAAAATTCTTGTGGGTGAGAAGAAAATTCACCTGGCAAAGCTGCAGCTGGGCCCTCTGACGGCAGTCAGCAAAGACGCCTCCCTGACCTGGCGGTGTGTCTGAGCTCGTATTTTCCTTCCCGCATCTGTAAAGTGGTAGGTGACTGTAAAGATGATGATAAGCTTCGGAGCAGTTAGCACACTAACTGTAAAATTCCTGGGTGATGAAGGTGCCAGCAACCAAAGCAGGTGATTTTTGTCTCCTGGGATTCCCTTCAGCAGCAGGGCTGGCTCAGTTATGCTGGGTGCTTAGAGCACATGGTGGCCTGCCCACTGCCCGCACCTGGTGAAGAATGTAGAACATCCCGCACCAGCATAGAAGATCTGCAAAGAAACTCTCTACTTCATGCTACAGAATATTCAGCAAGTCAGTGGAAATAGCGATGCCAACCTATAAAGTACAGGAAAGGTGTTAAAAGAATGTGTAAGATTTAAGTACATTCTCTACATTCATATATTTATCTATTAATCAAAGCCCCAAATAGGTCATAACTTAGTTATTTTAAAATAACTTGTTTTTAGGGCTGGGTGTGGTGACCCACTCCTGAAATCCCAGCACTTCAGGAGGCCAAGGCAAGAGGATCACTTGAGGTTAGGAGTTCAAGACCAGCCTGGCCAACATGGCAAAAACCCATCTCTACTAAAAATACAAAAATTAGCTAGGCGTAGTGGCACTCGCTTGTAGTCCCAGCTACTCGGGAGGCGGAGGCAGAAGAATCATTTGAACCCAGGAGGTAGAAGCTTCAATGAGCCAAGATGGTGCCACTGCACTCCACCCTGGGAGACAGAGCAAGACTCTGTCTCAAAACAAAACCCCCCAAAACACCATCAATTTTAGTTGATTTTAAAATACAGAGGCGTGTAAAGAAGTGTGATTTTGATTGCACCAAGATAACTTGGACTGACTTTTTTTCATGGTTAACAATAAGTGACCTTCACATAGAACATTTAAGCAGACTAGACAGCTATAAAATAAACTTTTCCCTTCATCACATTCTTCCCCCAAAATTGTTGCTTTTTCTTGATTATTTTTCCAGAAAAATAAACACATACCTCAGCCTGTATGTGCACACTTACACACACGCACGCACACACACACAGACACACTATACTATTTTAAGTCCAGCAATATCTGGTGATAACCACCCATCTTCATAGAGCTGGCCCAGTGCCTGGCTGTTCCACATCCCGTGCAAGCAGCATTAACTGTGCACATAATAGCATATAAGGTGCATTTTGGTCTGGGTTTATGTTATCTGCTTATCTGCATTTCAACAGAAAAAGTTTTGTCTTGCTTTTGCCCTGATTCCTTTATGTTTTAACTGAGTTTACAATGAAAAAATACAAATATATAAATAAATATATGACACTTATTATGCTCAGAGACTAAAGCAGTTATTAAGAGAATTGTAAGAGAAACTACCAAAATACACAACAGCAAAATAAAGGACTAGTAAATATATATTTATAGCTTTTAATACTTAAATTGTCCCCATGAGAGACTGTCAACTTGACTGTAACTAGATTCCATGTGTATTTTATATGTTATTACACATATTGAAAAGATATATCACAATGACATTTAAAATTGATGAATGCAATTTACCCAACTGTTGACTTCACAGTCACTCTACGTGGCGCTCTGGATGACACAAAGATAAGACACTGGAGTTCTGAAGGATGTTACTCTAAATGGAGAAAAGAATACCTGCAGAAAAATGGCAATCATGCATTATAAATATAGCAAATGGCTTGCTACCAGTCAAAATAAAGGGCTTTTTATAGTCTGTAGATTCCCAAGTAAATATAGAAATCCTGCCTCCTTTCAAGTGACAGACTGTTTGATAGAAAGTCAACTTGTTGGGTGGAATGAGCTGGGACCAGGAGAAGGAGAAAGGGAGGGGTGAGAAAGAGTAGAAGGCTCATTTTAAAAATCATGTCTGGGCCAGGCGCAGTGGCTCACGCCTGTAATCCCAGCACTTTGGGAGGCCGAGGCAGGCGGATCACGAGGTCAGGAGATCGAGACCACCCTGGCTAACATGGTGAAACCCCATCTCTACTAAAAATACAAAAAATTAGCTGGGCGTGGTGGCAGGTGGCTCCTGTAGTCCCAGCTACTCTGGAGGCTGAGGCAGGAGAATGGCGTGAACCCGGGAGGCGGAGTTTGCAGGGAGCCGAGATCCTGCCACTGCACTCCAGCCTGGGCAATAGAGCAAGACTCCGTTTAAAAAAAAAAAATTATGTCTGTGCATGTATTCCCTCCAGACCATTTGCCTTTCCTTAGGTGCAGCATACTGGTGTCAACTGTGTCCTGCTACATTAAAAGAAATGAGACTTTGATTTGATTGGATCTATCTAGGAAGAACTGCATAAATTATGAATCATGATTGATTAATTCATGTTGAAATAGTTTGGCAAAAATATTTCTTTCTTGGGGTAGGAAAGACATATCGGCTTAGTCCTAAAGAGAATGAGCTCTTCCCCTACTTCATTTCATATTTTCTCAACTAACTTTTATTGAACACAATTATGCACTAAATATCATCCTAGGTGCTGTAAGGAACCAAATGAGGCCTGTTTTTGTGCACAGGACATTTACAAGCCTGCAGAAGGAAATGTGTAAACATGACCTATATCCACAGTGCAGGAGGAAGCTGTTGTAGAAGGAAATTCCATGACTGAAAGGAAGTCTTCGAGTACTTGGGATGGGGAGAGCCTTTGGGAGCTGGGGGATGGCATCTATGAGTGCTAGGCTTGGTATCAAGCCTCGCTTTTCCTGACACTATATGCTAGGAAGGCCTGCGTAACCAGGGTGGCCGAGGAACGGTGAGAATCTCATGAGGGCCGGAATCCAAAGGCAGCAACATGCTTGGAGGCTAAAAGGAGGCTAATGCCTCCATTCCAGGGGAGGCTCAGGAAAGATGCCCTTGCACCTATGACATTTGGCAAGAGCCCTGGAGGCTGAGCTGGAAGGGGGTGGCATCAGAGCTTGAAGAAACAGCCTGAAGAAACTGAGCCATGAGTTATGAGCCTGATACACCTGCCAAGGAATGGCGGGTGGGAGAAGAAGCAGGAAGGCGCTGTGGCTTGAATATTTGTCCCCTCCAAAACTCATGTTGACATTCAATCCCCAGGGCCACAGTATTTAGAAGTGGGGCCTTTGAGAGGTGATTAGGTCAAGAGGGCTCTGTTCTCATGAGTGGATTAATACTTTTCTTTTTTTTCTCCATTTCTTTCCCTTCCTTCCTTCCTTCCTTCCTTCCTTCCTTCCTTCCTTCCTTCCTTCCTTCCTTCCTTCCTTCCTTCCTTTCTTTCTTTCTTTCTTTCTTTCTTTCTTTCTTTCTTTCTTTCTTTCTTTCTTTCTTTCTTTCTTTCTTTCTGATGGGGTCTTGCTCTATCGCCCAGGTTGGAGTGCAGTGATGTGATCTCGGCTCACTGCAATCTCCACCTCCCAGTTTCAAGCAATTATCCTGTCTCAGCCGCCAGAGTAGCCGGGACTACAGGCGTGCACCACTACGCCTGGCTAATTTTTGTGCTTTTAGTAGAGAAGAGGTTTTACCATGTTGGCCCGGCTGGTCTCGAACTCCTGACCTCAGGCAATCTGCCCAGCTCGGCCTCCCAAAGTGCTGGGATTACAGGCATGAGCCACTGCACTGGGCCAGTGGATTAATACTTTCATGGGCTAATAGATTAATGGGCTATCATGAGTGGGGAACTGGTGGCTGTGTGAGAAGAGGAAGAGAGACCAGAGCTAACACATTAACACTCTCAAGCCCCTCGCCATGTGATGCAATGCGCCATCTTGGAACTCTGCAGAGAGGGGCTCCACCAAGAAAAAGGCCCTCAACAGATGTGGCCCTTCACATCTTGGACTTCTCAGCCTCCATAACCATAAGAAATACATTTTATTTCTTCTCAATTACCCAGGTCCAGGTATTCTAAGCAACACAAAACAGATGAGGAGAGTAGGTTTTGGGTTCAATTGTGGAGCCCCCAGCAGCATGCCTGGCCCTTTCCTCCAAGCACTCGGAGTCATGCCACTTCACTCGCTCCTCCTGGGCCGGCCGGCTCAGATGAGAGGGAAGATGAACGTCTGTCTTAGCTTTGCCAGGTGGCGATCCTTGAGCTCTTCTTGTGAGAAAGCAGCCAAGAAATAAGACTGAAGCATTCTACATTTAACAGATTGGACCCCTCGTAAATTGTACCACCCAAAGCACAGCTTTCTCCTGTATTTTGTGATATGGAAAGCTGTGTCACATCCTGAGAGTCATTCCCGCAGCCCTGGCTGGACTCGTTCCTGCCTACAACTCTCTCATCCTGTCCGGCATTGGTGCAGGGTGTCTCGAGGCTGAGATTCCATCACTTCCACATCTGTGTCTTCACCCTCTGTCCACAGGCCACGCACCCAGTAAGGGGAAGTGAGGCAGACTGGCTGTGAACCTGGGGATGCCACCAAAACCAGGTAACAGACCAAGTCACCCTTCAGACAGGCAGTAAAGAGCTGGCTCTACTGTGTGCCTTTCCTGCTGTGGGGCACAAATCCCCATGACCTTTGGCAATACCCAGCTTTGCAAATTTAACCATGATAGATAATTTCCCTCTAAAATGCAACAAAGTATAACTGAAAATGTAACTGGCCTCCTCGCATCATTAATGTTCTTATGCAAAAGGAATTAGGTGATTTACAAAGCTCTGAAAATACAGTCCAGCCAGAGCACTTGCCAGAAGCGTTCACAATTCACCGTCGCTTGCTCGTGTGCACATCTTGCCATGCGACACCCAAGCCACACGCAGGAATCACGGTCCATCTCAGGAGCTCATTGTTCAGTTCCTCTGGATGCTCTTCATTCTGTCTAAACTGGAATATTACTATAAGTTTATAGTAGAAAAACGTGATGATTTTATAATAACGAGCTCAATCGTCTCATAGTTGTCCAGTGGTTTCATGGCACCAGGCGGGGCACAGGGACGGGGTGCAGGAGGGGCCCTGCCGGCTGTCACACCTGCCATGCAGGTGGGCTTCACAAACCTCCAGGAGCCTCTTCTCTCCCAGACTTTCGGGGAAGAGCAGCTTCTGGGCTCATGTAGGGCCCTGCACTTTCATTCTGGGGGCACTGACAAATACAAACAGAATTCAGGTGAGTGATACAAAGGAAATGGATAAAGCATTTGGTGGGGAGAGAGGTGTGGAGGCTCCTTTGGTTTGAAAGATTAAGACTCAATCTCACGTCTCCAAGGAGGAGAAATTCTACATGAGAAGTAAACATTGGGAGCGCCAGGCATGGGAGGCCTGTGGCAAGGGCTGGGGGCAGGGGAAGCTGGCGCCAGAGGGGGCCAGAGGGCACCTGGTGTGTTTCAGGGCAGTTGAAGGCGTAAGGTCAGGATGGGCAGGGCATGGGCAGAGGGGAGGGGTGACGGGGGGCATGGGCAGAGGGGAGGGGTGGGGGGGCATGGGCAGAGGGGAGGGTGGGGGGGCATGGGCAGAGGGGAGGGGTGAGGGAGGCCAGAACCGGGCAGGGCCCAGCCTCTGCTTGGGTGTTCATGGGTTCTTTTGTCTGCAGAGCATTAGGAAGACAAGCAGGGCCTTCAGTAGGCATAAGGTGATGAGGTTCATGCCGTTGGATCCCACGGGTGCCCTGGGGAAGAGATGGTTGGGAAGTCTGAGAGGAAGCAGGAGAGCTTTCGGAGCACATGGATGCCGTCCAGAATGGAGATGGTTGTGGCTCGGAAGAAAAAGAAATCACCCAGCTCGGAGTCAGGATACATTTGGAGGTCCAGGCCGCCGAGTTTGCTGGTGGGGAAGATAGGCACCAGAAAGGAAAGAGGACATCCAGGGCAATTTCTTCTGCCCCCCAGCCAATCCGTACATTGTCCAGAGGTAGGAAGAAGTAGCCTCATTTTATGGTCAGGATCCTTGGGGCTCAGATGCGTTAAGTAATTGGTCAAAATCTTGCACAAATCCTGCAAGTACAGAGGTAGAAAATGAATCCAGGTCTTTGATTCCCAAACGTAAGCTCTTTCGCTGTGTCACTTCTCCTCTTCGTTTTCATGCCAGTTCCAAGAATTAACACTGCAGTTAGCTTTCTGTTTCCTTTCCCAAGATGTACTATGTAACAATGAAGAAACCTTAAGAAAAGGATAGCAATGTCTAACATGGATGCAGGGCCAGCCTCATTCTCTGTCAAAGCGACTAGTTCCTACACTCTGGGTTCCAATACAAAGAATGCACATTTATGCAGCAGGAATGGCCCAAGGACCACACATTGCACAGCTCTTGGGAGCAGAGCAGAAAGCTGCGCCAGGCCTATCTGATCAGTCTTCATGGAAAGGGTCGCAGATCCCATTCGGCTTGGAGATTTTGATGAATTTTCCTTTCTGTGGGTTGGATTTAAAATGTAATATTCTTCCCCCAGTTGAAAGTTTAGGACTAAAAGATGGGAAATCTTTTACAAGCTACACTTCTTCCCCACCCTTACTTCCCCTGGAGTTTCCATCAGCAATCATCTGAGTGCCCCATTAACTCCCCAAAACCCAAGGTCTGTTGGTGGTGGAATATTGAGCTGAAGAGCAGACTGTTGTAGAAGTCATCAGTTCTCTCTGATCATAGTGTCCAAACAAAAACATTATGGGGGAAACTGGCCCCATCACTTAATTATCTCCCAACAGGTCCTTCTCAAAACACATGGGAATTATGGGAGCTACAATTCAAGATGATATTTGGGTGAGGACACGGCCAAACTGTATCAAGTCCCCAATTGAGGGCACCTGCTCCCTGTAGATAATGGCATTTCAGATCTACAATGTGGCATTTCCAGACAACTCACTCATTTACGCTGATTGGTGCAAATTTTATTTTAGCCTCCAAACATTTTTCTTCCCCAGTCTGTTAAAAGAAAACAAAACCAAAACACCTCTCTCTCTCTCTCTCTCTCTATTTATAGATAGAAACGCTTACCCATATCATAGCATCAGTATTTTGCTGAAGCCCTGGAGTGTCAGGCACCGTGTTAGGAACTGAATACAAAAATAAGATGTAAACCAGTCCCTCAAGGAATCTATGGGACTGGTAAGATTAGCTAACCGTGCACCTGGAGGGAATATACTTAGAAATAACTGCAAATTCTGCAGAAATGCTGAGGGGTTCCCAAACTCGTTTCTGTGAGGCCTGTTAATTGCTGAGTTGTTTTGTCTCTGGTCTGTGGAACCCCGATAGTGTGCCCTAGGTCTTTAATTTCTTCATCTCTAAAGAATAGTGTCAATGGAGTCATTGCATGTGTTTATTCATACTTCTCAATGTGGAAGAGAACTCTCTAGGGTGTAAAACCCTATCCAGGAAGCACATGACAAGTTGGAATCCTCAATGACATGGCATTGCTATAGTTGCTATCGGAACAATCTTTTCTTTTTTTTCTTTTTTTGAAACAGGGTCTTGCTCTGTCATCCAGGCTGGCGCGATCTCGGCTCACTTTGACCTCTGCCTCCTGGGTTCAAGCGATTCTCCTGTCACAGCCTCCTGAGCAGCTGGGATTACAGGCAGGCACCACCATGCTGAGCTAATTTTTGTATTTTTAGTAGAGACCAGGTTTCGCCATGTTGCCCAGGCTACTCTCGAACTCCTGGCCTCATGTGATCCGCCCACCTCAGCCTCCCAAAGTGCTGGGATTACAGGCGTGAGCCACTGCAACCAGCTGGAACAATCTTGATATTAGGGTGAACAAGTGATTTCATAGCTTTCTCTGAAGGAGGAAACACTGGGAGCATCCACCCGAGAATCAACACTGTGGATCATTCTGGGGAGTTAATAGTTTTGAGATGTGTCCCAAGATAATTGTTAGCTTGAATTACCACGTGGATGGAACCATGCTGATCCTAAGAGCCAGGTAATGGCCAAAGGTGCCATTCAGGTGAAATCCCCAGGTGGAAAATTCTTCCACTTCCAATGATAGAATTCTATTACTCTGCCTATAGTTTGGTGAAACAAGACTTTACAAATAGAGGACAAGATCCATTTTGCCAAGAACAACCATATGGATTTAACTGCTGCTAACAACCGTTAGGAAGGAACATCAATAAAAAGCAAGCCTGTGAGACAACTCCTTCCCCAAGGGGCGCTTGTTACAGAGCGCGGGCCCCAGCAGGCCTGGTCCATCCTCCACATTCTTTCCTCTCTGACTTATTTTTACTTTCTGTTTGAATTGGCTTGGTTTTATTTTGCCCTAAACTGTGTCTGTAGTCATCCCCCGACAGAGTTTTGAGAGTGAAAGTCCGATCTGCCCACGCTTCACAGAACTCAATGCGGAGCCTTCTCAGGAGTCACTTGACGTCAAGGCTGACTTTTAAATTTGCCAAAAAGGCATTCTTTGGGGAGCGGTCGGCACCATCACTTTCCCTCTTTAGAGAGCTGCTACTGGCTGCTGGAATTCAAAACCCACAAATTGCATTTCTAAACTTAATTCGATACATAGATGAGCGGAAAGATCAGACATTGATGCTATTGTTTTCAACCAAGATGTTTTACTATATCATTTATATTTTGTTTTTTTCTTCCCCCAGTTTTTAAACTTTTTGTTTGTTTGTTTTACAGGCCAAGCCTACTGCTGTTAGAAAACATATTTAGAAATCACTTGGTTCTTCCTTGCCTGAACATCATCTATTTAGTTAGCTTGTGTTGTTTAGATGTGCTTCAGATCTCAAAAAAATAAATTATGTTATTTGAAAGCTTGCTCTCTGCTTGTTTACACTATTAATTTAGAGTCCAGAGGAATCTCTAAATTTGCCTCTAGAAACCACATAATCACCTAATAATACCTTTCCTGACTCCACTTTCTGACACAAAGTGACTTTTGAAACGCTTCCATCTTCCCTTTCTATTTAATGTACTGCACTCCACTCTTTTTTCCTTTCGTTTTTTCTACAGTCCGTCATGGAGTATTTGTTTACCAAATGTTACTTTTCTTGGATCCAATCTATTTTTGAAGAGCGCAAAAGCAAACAACTGTTTGAAGCTGTCAAGCTTCATTTTATTTATGCATGAATAACACAAATAACTTGAAAATGACCTAGTCTGTTTTTCTCAGATTTAGATAGAAAAACTGCTTCCGGCCAATGTTTATGCCAATTTGTTCATGCCAAGTTTCCAGTTTCGGTGCCAACCGGTTTTTACAGCCAAGTTGTAAACCTTCGGTAAACATGGCTTATAATGAAAAGTGCAACACAGCCTGAACCCTGGCACCAGGGGACGGATGTAAATTTATTCTAAGAACAAAATTCTAACAGGAACAGGAGGGGAGCTAGGCTGGCTACAAAGTGTTCCCACCGTAATATGGAAAATGTACAGATGATGATATATTTGATTACTAAGATCCCATTAGGCCAATTTAGGCACTTTATGTATTTCCTTTGCTCTGGACGCTGAGTGGTTTCATGCTCAATTTGAAGCAACTGGCTCATTGTCTCAGGGTGGTTCTAGAACTTTGCCTTCAGGTGGGGCTGGGGAGGGAGCCCTGGCATTTCAAGACAGGAGGGGGTGATATGGTTGGGCTCTGTGTCCCCACCCAAATCTCATGTTGAAAGGTAATCCCCAATGCTGGAGGTGGGCCTGGTGGGAGGTGACAGGGCCATGGAGGTGGCTCCTTATGGTCTCACACCATCCTCCTGGGTGCTGTCATCCCTATCGTGAGTTCTTGTGGGGTTGGCTTCTCATGGTCTGACACCATCCTCCTGGGTGCTGTCGTCCCTATGTGAGTTCTTGTGGGGGTGGCTTCTCATGGTTTAACACCATCCTCCTGGGTGCTGTCATCCCCGTCGTGAGTTCTTGTGAGATCTGGTTGTTTAAAAATGTGTGGCACCTCCCGCGTTGCTCTCTCTTCCTCCTGCTCCAACCATGTAAGATGTGCCAGCCTCTCCTTTGCCTTCTGCCATGATTGTAAGTTTCCTGAGGCCTCCCCAGAAGCAGAAGCCACTGTGCTTCTTGTACAGCCTGTGGAACCGTGAGCCAATCAAACCTTTTTCTTTATAAATTACCCAGTCCCAGGTATTTTTTTATAGCAATATGAGAATGGACTCATACAATGGGTATGTTCATCTGCATTCATAAAGGTACAGAAAAAGGAATCAAATGTTTTATTTTAACATCAGTTCAAAAATGTCCATCCATGTCAACCTCTTCTCTCCTAATATGTTGCATCCAGTGTGTCCTTTGCAAAACCTAAAAAAATTATATCCCTCCCATTTATAACCCTCCACAGCTTCCCATTTTCTTCAAGTAAGCCACACACTTCTTCCTGGACCCTCAAGATCCCCCCTGGACCCCCGAGAAGGCAGGTGTGAAGCCTTTTGTCTATAAACTCATCTATCTCTCTCCACTCCCCAATTGAGCTCTCAAGGGACACTGACATCCTTTCTGTTTCTGGAACATTCCAAGCTGATCCTGGCTTAGGGCTTCTAGAGGCCCCCTCAGCAGGAAAACCCTTTCTTATCTCCCACTTGGCTGGCTCCTTCTCTCTGCCCACATCTCACTCAGACTCTGAGAAGCATCCCCCCAAATATTCCATCAAAAACAGCTCCCACCCCCACCCTCCATCCCAATCTATCACGTTGTTGGTTTTTCTTCATAATGTATTTGAAATTGCTCACTTGCATATTAATTTACTTACTGATCAGAATGCAAATTAGATTCGAATGTCAATTTACAACTGCCTGGATGCTTTTTTACCATTTTTCAGCCGTATTCCTAGGACTGAGGTGCACAGAGATTACTCAATACAAACTTGTTAAATGAAATCAATGCTTATTAAACTGATGTCTCCTGTTTACAGGGAAAAATGCCCAGTGTTACAGGTGCAGCGATGGATGAGCCCCAGTCCAAGAGCTCACGGAAGGGCTGCCTGGGCTGCATACCTGTGCGTGCAGTCGCAGAGAGCTCGTGTTGGGGTCGCCACAAACCCCCCAGGGCCACAGGGACCCAGGCCTGGACTCCTGGGGGGACTTCTCTGCAGGCGCTAAGGGGTGGGTGGGTGTCCAGCAGGGAGACAGGGAAGAGGGCGACCCACGCCATACTCACGGTGCTTGTGGCCAACTTGGTCATGGTTATGTACCCACGGGACCTGCGGTCCCGGGCAGAGTTCATGGTGTAGCTGTGGTGAGAGTGAGGCCCTGACTCAGTGTCCTGTTGTGTCCAGGTAGAGCTTACTTTTGAGAAGGGAGCCAAAAGATTCCTTTTGCATAAAAAGTGAGACAGTCCAAGCTGGTAGGGAGCTGGGAGAATGTCATGGGCTTTGAGAGACCTTCATCGTCAGAAGGAAAACTTTAAAAAGTACTTACTTCTCATGAGTAGGATGAAGTCCATCACTTCCTGTGTGGTAGATTTCCTTGGATAGTCCTGACTAAGTCAGAGCCAAAGGATTTAGAGGTATCCAGGTATCAAAAGAAAACCAATTTCAGGCTGGGCGTGCTGGCTCATGCCTGTAATCCTAGCACTTTGGGAGACCGAGGCGGGTGGATAACGAGGTCAGGAGATAGAGACCAGCCTGGCCAACATGGCAAAACCCTGTCTCTGTTAAAAATACAAAAATTAGGCTGGGCGTGGTGGCTCACGCCTATAATCCCAGCACTTTGGGGGGCCGAGGTGGGCAGATCACGAGGTCAGGAGATCGAGACCATCCTGGCTAACACGGTGAAACCCCATCTCTACTAAAGATACAAAAAATTAGCTGGGCGTGGTGGTGGGTGCCTGTAGTCCCGGCTACTTGGGAGGCTGAGGCAGGAGAATGGCATGAACCCAGGAGGTGGAGCTTGCAGTGAGCCGAGATCGAGCCACTGCACTCCAGCCTGGGCGACAGAGCGAGACTCCGTCTCAAAAAAAAAAAAGAGAAAGCCAATTTCACTTCAGGCCTTGCTGAGCCTCCTTACTGTCCTGAATCCAGGAACCCCAGTTCCACACCACCTGTCATGATCTAAATGTTTGTGTTCCCCCAAAATGCATAGGTCAAAATCCTCACCTCCAAGGTGATGGTATCAGGAGGTCAGGCCTCTGGAGGCGATGAAGTTATGAGGGTGGGGCCCTCACGAATGGAATTGGTGCCATTATAAGAGAGGCCCATGAGAGCTCCCTCACCCCTTCCTCCCTGTGAGGACACCAAGGGAAGGCAGGGCTGTCTATGATGCAGAAAGCAGGCCCTCACCAGACACCTGATCTGCTGGAGCCTTGATCTCTAACTTACAGGCCCCAGAATGGCAAGAAATAAATGTGTGTTGTTTAAGCTGAGATGCAGTCTACGGTATTTTGTTCCGGCAGCCCACATGACTAAGACACCAGCCTACCAGGCCTTGACATCACAGCATCACAGCACAGGCTATGGCCTGTAGAGGCTCACGTGGTAGGTAGAAGCAAGCCCCTTTCATCGTGGGCAGGTATCTGCACCGTGTTATGTGTTTGCAAGTTTGGAGTCTGTATGCCATAGTGACAGCCTGGGAATGATTTAGGGAAGAAACAAGGGGAACTGAGGACTGGGCAGAACTGGTAACCTAACCAGGAGAAATGATGTGTGCGGTCCCCTAAATCAAGAGCTTCCCCCCTGCAGGGCCGCAGGTGCACAGGGCTCTGCACTCCCAACAGGAGCCCCTTTTCCCATCTGTCCAACCAGGGAGTCTGTAAGGCAGCTTTGTTTCTTAGTTTTTGTTTTTATTTGTGAAGATGGGGTCTCACTATGTTGCCCAGGCTGTCTCCTGGGTTCAAGTGATCCTCTCACCCTGGCCTTTCAAAGTGTTGTGATGACAGGTGTGAGTTCTTTTGATCCCTCTCTCTCTCGGCACCTCTGAATTTGGTTAGGGAGGTATCTCAACTGTACAGAGAATTTCATAGGAACCCTAATATCTCGTCCATTGACAGCAAGTGTCCATGCACATAGCAAAATATTCTGTCAAACCTCCACTCAGAAAATTTAGTAGTTTCATCACTGTTCTCTAACCTTTCAACAAAACACAAAACCTGTTTCTTAAATATAACTGTGGAAAATATTAGAGAACACTCTGCCCTGTTTTTCTGCCGACACAAATATTATTCTTGTTGGCTGGTGTGGTGGCTCGCATCTGTAATCCCAGCACTTTGGGAGGCCGAGGCAGGAGGATCACCTGAGTTTGGGAGTTCAAGACCAGCCTGACCAACATGGTGAAACCCTGTTTCTGCTAAAAATACAAAAATTAACCAGATATGGTGGCCATGCCTGCAGTTCCAGCTACTCAGGAGGCTGAGGCAGGAGAATCACTTGAACCCGGGAGGCGGAAGCTACAGTGAGCTGAGATCGTGCCATTGCACTCCAGCCTGAGTGACAGAGCGAGACTGCATCTCAACAAAATTTTTTTTTCTTGTTGTGATATGTGTATGCACAAATATGTGTACCATGAAATATTACTCAGCTTTAAAAAGGAAGAGGATCTTGCCCATTTGTGACAGCGTGGATGAACCTGGAGGACATCATGTTAGGTGAAATAAGCTAGGTGCAGAGACACAAACACCGCATGATCTCATTTACATGTGGAGTCTAGACATGCTGATTCACAAAAGCAGAGAATAGAACAGAGGTTGCCAGGGTCCAGGAGATGGGCGGATGGGGGGCTGTTGATCAAAGGGCATAAACTTGCTGTTATAAGAGGAATGGATTCTAGAGAACCAAGGTTCAGCGTGGTGACTATAGTTTACAACAATGTACTGTATACTTGGGATTTGCTGAGAAAGTAGATTTTAAGTGTTGTCACGACACACACATACACAAAGGGAAGGTGGTGGACGTGTTAATTAGCTTGATTGGGGTAATCATTTTACAATGTATATGTATATCAAAACATCACATTCTACACCTTGAATATATACTATTTTTATTTGTCAATTAATCCTCAGTTAAGCTGAAATACATTAAAAAATGAAATAAAAAAAAAAAAAAAAACTTCTTGGAATCCCAGGGGAAGAGGAAGAGTGCTGGGATGTCTCACGACAGCATGGCTCCGAGAAAGCATGGCTAAAAGACGCTGCTCTTCCTCGGCTAAGGAGATTTTTGTCGTTCACTTGTTCAACCGGGGTAAGTTCCCTGTTTCTCATAGAGCGATTCTCCTCCCTCAGTCCTAGGCCGCTAAGACGTCAGGGGAGCTGATACACACTTCCAAGAACACGGAGACATCAAAGGGAGCTGAGAGTCCACAGCGGCAGCAAAACAGGTGCTGCTTCACATGCCCTTTGCTAAGAGTCCTGGAGTTTGAAGTCTCCACGGCCGATCTAAAAGCAAGTTCCTGAGGAAGGAGCCGGAAAGTTCTCTGAAACCAGTAGTGGAAGCTAGTCTCTAATAAAACAAAATGTTACCACGCTTCTGGAAAGATTCCACACATCAAACATTGAATAAAAAGGACAATTCGATTAACTGAGGCTGATTTCTTTTGACAAATTGACTTTGAAAAGGAATTCAGAGCAATAAAAAGGCCACGCCCTGACTTGAAAGCTTTAGCTGCTGGAGGGAGAATTCACAACGCATTTGCAAGGGGCTGCCGTAATCAACATGTTTGTAAAACAGGATGAAGGACTGCCCATAAATTTCAAACCCAAATGAGCAGAAAAGCACACAAAGGAGAAAATGATCAATTCAAGGCCCAAATGCCGGCGTCGTGTAAAACGTAACTCATTGAACACACACGCGGTTGGCCCGTGTTGAACATGCGTGACACAGCCCCGTGCAGTGGCTCACACCTGTAATCCCAGCACTGTGGGAGCCTGAGGTGGGCAGATCACTTGAGCTCAGGAGTTCGAACCAGCCTGGTCAACATGGTGAAACCCCATCTCTACTAAAAATACAAAAATGAGGCTGGTGTGGTGGCGTGCACCTGTAACCCCAGCTATTCAGGGGGTTGAGGCATGAGAATTGCTTCAACCTGAAAGGTGTGGGTTGCAGTGAGCTCAGATCGTGCCACTGCACTCCAGCCTGGGTGACAGAGTGAGACTCTGTGGAAAAAAAAGGAAAGAAAGAGAAAGAAAGAAAGAAAGAAAGAAAGAAAGAAAGAAAGAAAGAAAGAAAGAAAGAAAGAAGGAAGGAAGGAAGGAAGGAAGGAAGGAAGGAAAGAAAGAAAGGAAGAAAGAAAGAAAGAAAAAGAGAGAGAGGCAGGCAGAAAGGAAGGGAGGGAGGAAGAAAGAGAAAAAAGGAAAGAAAGGAAAGGGAAGAAACAAGGAAAGGAAGGAAGGAAGGAGGGAAGATACGTGACAGGCCTCCTCTGCCTTTGTTTCTAGAGCTGCTGCCAGCCTGCTGCTGCCTCTCCACGCTTTGCCTGAGGCCAGAGAATCCCACAGACGATGCTATTTCATGGCATCACTCTTTGAACCACTGCAAGCTTCCTTGTATAGCCCCCAAAACACAGGAAAGGCTGCATTTTAGCTGGGCCGGCTTCGAGACCAAGACGCAGTTGATGCACTTCACAATGTACTAATTTGTTGTTCACTCCATGAACAAAAACTGAGGCCTACTAGGTTCCCCAGAGCTGCTCAAGATGCCAGAGCCATGGAGGGGGGTGAGGGGAAGGGCAAGAAGGTGCCCATAGTGCTTATAATGTAGGAAAGGGGGACAGGGACGGGCAGACAGGAAAAGAAGGGAAAAGGCAAGCAGAGAACAAGGTTGTGAAAAGTGCTCTGTAGCCCGGGCGAGAGAGATGTCGGTGACTCCGAGTAAGGCATGATATCAGCATTACAGGGAAGGGCTCTGACTCAGTGTGATCTCAAAGTTGATAGGATTGCTCAAAGATTAAGTATTCAGACTAAAAGAAAGAGGGAGGGACCAGGATAAATTAAATTATCAGCTGGTTTACTGAGAAAACTCAGAGAAGAAGACATTCAGGGAGACACCAAGCCAGGGAGGTGACAAGTATGTGGTAAAATCCGAGCACGCAGAATTTGGGGGAACAGGACTCTAGACTGCCTCTAGAGAGAGCTGTATTGAAGGCCCTGCGACCCAGCACAGAGAAGGGAATGGTGCTCTAGGTCCCTGCCTCTGCAGAAGACAAATCCAGGAAGAGAACCAGGAAACTGCAGAGTAGCCAGCCACATGCGAGAAAAATCTGAAGGAGACGAAAATGTTTCAGGAGAAAGGTACTGAGCAACCAAGGGGCTTAATGCTGCTAGGTCAAGCAGATTCAGAAGTGAGATGCCACTGCTGGCTCTGGAATCGTGGTGTCCCTGGGGCTTGGCTGGCCAGAGCAGTTTCCCTGGGACATGGCCAGAGCAGACTTTTGGAGTGGGTGGGGGGTCGGAGAGGACAAGGAAAGGTGATTCCCTAAGGGGTGAGCGCATGAAGATTAGCAAAGTCGTGGGACTGTGGAGAGAGGTGTGTGTGCAGTGACACTGGGTCTTCCTCTGTTTTGTTTAAATGACAGAGGTTACTAAGCCACGTGGGTTTGTAGATGGTGATGCTAGAGAAGAGGGACACTCATCCTGCAGAAGGGGAAGGAAAATTATCAGTCACGTTCTTGAGAAGACAAGGAGCGCTTGGCTGGGCTGAAAACGCAAGGGGAGGATAGGACCTTTGCCGAGGGCAGGACGACTTACAGTGACACGAGGAAGGCACGAGTGAGGGTAGCAACGCCGTGTGCAGGCAGTCACAGTGTTGGAAAAACCAGGATGTTCCTAAACAAATCTTTTCACTTTCTAATGGAGTGTGAGGAAGGATTGTTAGCAGAGAGTGTGTACCTCTGTTGGGGAGGCCTGTGGAGTGAGGCAGAGACAGTGAAGGTGCAGGGAGCTGCAGGTGGGAGTGTGGGTGCACCTAAGATCAGGGCCTGAACAAAGTGAAGCTGTCATCACAGTGGCAGGAAGGGGGAGGCTACCTTCCCTTCCTGATTCCACTGCTGAGTTACAGGCATGGTTGGGAGCCTAATCCTAACCCTAACCCTAACCCTAACCCTAAACCTAACCCTAACCCTAAACCCTGACCATAACCCTGAAGCCTTACTATGACCCTAACCTTAACCCTAATGCTTAACCCTAACCCCAACTCCAACCCCTAAGCTTTAACCCTAACCCCTAACCCTAACCTCTAACCCTAACCCTAATGCTAACCCTCGGTGGGTGTGGATGACATTTTGACCAGGGTTGGGATTTGCCAGGGGAGTTCAGCCAGAGAGAGTTGGGCAAGGTGAGATGAATAATATTTCAGCTAGGATCAGATCAGGTTCTTCTCCAAGTAACAAAGACCAAAACTAAAGGGTCTTGAATACAATTGAAGGGTTTTTGTTATTATTATTCTTTTTTGTTTTTTGAGACAGAGTCTCACTCTGTCACCCAGGCTGGACTACAATGGTGCGATCTTGGCTCACTGCAACCTCTGCCCCCTGGGTTCAAGCAGTTCTCCTGCCTCAGCCTCCTGAGTAGCTGGGATTATAGGTGTGCACCATCACACCCAGCTTTTTTTTTTTTTTTTTTTTTTTTTTTGTATTTTTAGTAGAGACAGGGTTTTGCCATGTTGGCAAGGCTGATCTCAAACTCCTGACCTCAGGTGATCCAACCTCCCCAGCCTCCAAAAGTGTTGGGATTACAGATGTGAGCCACAGCACCCAGCCTGTTGTTGTTTCTTTCACATTAAAATCAGGAGGTGGGTGACCAACACAGAGTAGGGCAGCCCAGGTACATGTGTTCCTGAGACACCCAGACTCTGCCATCCCTAACTTTTACCCTCATGGCCCAAAGAGGCGCCCAGAGCACCAGCCATCACATCCACGTTCCAAGCAGCAGGATAAGAAGGGACACAAAAATGAAGTGGAAAAGACATGTTTTAAGGGATATTCCTGGAAACCATCAAATGACACTTTCCTTCATGGTTAGCTTCAATATAGAGAATCTATTCTGCCCAGTCATTTGTCAAGATAAACCTGGGGGCTCTATTTCTATGGAACATCAGTAGGAAGGGCAGGGAGGGGAAACCACTCATCTTCTTAGGGAAGATAACAGTGGGTGAGGAGAAAGAATGAGGCTGATGGATTGAGGCATCGGTGAGTTCAAAGATTTGCTCCAGCTGAAGTACAAGATTCCAGGAAGAAGAGATTGTGGTGGACAGGCCTGGGGCCTGCAAAGCTGACATTCTGGTAGCAGCGTTTGGAGTCACAGAAGGGAAGTTATTGGAGGTAAAGAGGCCCATGGGCCCTGGCGGGACTCATGGAGAGCCTGGAAAGAAGTGAGTGTGGGAGGAACATTTTCTCAAAGCGGCCTCTGGTGTTTAGAATGGAAGGAATTTTGGATTCCCCTCTGTCGTCATCCAGCTAAAAATTTTGAAGACTTTTTTTTTTTTTTTTTTGAGATGGAGTCTTGCTCTTGTTGCCCAGGCTGGAGTGCAATGGCACAATCTCGGCTCACCACAACCTCCACCTCCCCGGTTCAAGCGATTCTCCTGCCTCAGTCCCCTGAGTAGCTGGGATTACAGGCATGCACCACCACACCCAGCTAATTTTGTATTTTTAGTAGAGACAGGGGTTCTCCATGTTGATCAGGCTGGTCTCGAACTCCCGACCTCAGGCGATCCGCCCGCCTCGGTCTCTCAAAGTGCTGGGATTACAGGCATGAGCCACCGCGCCCGGCCCACTGAAGACATTTTAATTGTGCATTCATTCACTCAGCAGACATTTATTGAGTTCTAAATATTCTGCTAAGCCTTAAAAATCCGTTAATGAGAGAGCCTTCACCTCTGGTTAACAGACATTGCCAGTTAAACAGACGCTATCAGCCTTGTCCCCCAGCCAGTAGTCAAAGCTGTTGTTAACAACAGTTGCCATCACAACTGATTTTAAAGTTAAACATTCCATCCATTTCTCTAGATATCAAAGGCACACCGTAATAAACTCATCTAGATGCTGCTGTATGGACGGTCACTTTTGCTAACTGATTGAGTTTCGCAGAAGCCCTTGTGTGCTACTGTCACAGCCTTGACTGGCAATTTGTGTGAATACCTGACTCTGAGTCACAGGACGGAACGGATGGATATGTGGTTTTCATCTGACAATTTATTTTTGTGGTGGTTCACTCACTACAGGGCTTTTCAACTGGTGCATAATTTAGGTTAAAGTTTCTGAGCAGCTCTGGACTGCAAAAGGGCCTCCCTTCACTGAGCAGATGTATATGACCCCGTGCTTCTCCGATTCATACCAAACTTCAGAGAAACTCCGGGAAAGGTTCCTTCTGTATTTATGGATGAGAATTATGTGAAGCCTCTACAACCATCGTAGTTCATATCTCCAGAGAGGTAAAGGAATGCTAACAGAACAAGTCACTGAAAAGGGAGACTTGGCCAGTGACAATCAGGCTTCTCAGCTTCCACAGTGGCTGCAAACCAGTTTGAGCAGATTTCTGTTTGGCCCTTTCTCGGTAGGCTCTACCTCATGAACACCAACCTTTGCATCTGGCACGCTCCTTTTTCAAAGGCATGTCATAGCGGTAAAATAATTTAGTTGCAAAGTAGAGTTCTAAAATAGAATACAGTAGAATTTAATAGATTAAGACATTGTGGAATATATTATAATTGAATAGTAGGGATAAAATAGAAAATATCGGAGACTGTGTCTTGCAACATGAGTAAGAGGAGTTTGATGAAATTAGGTGGGAAATCAAAATTCTAGCCAATTGAGGACCAGGGTGGGGTTTAAAGGGAGCAGTCGCTGTCTATACAAATTTCTTATTCCTGTTTTATATAGAAACTGGGAGATTTTCCCCCCTCTCTTCCTTTCTTCTTTTATCTTTTCTTCCTTCATTTCTTTCATTTTTAAACTTTCATTCTTTTTTCTGTTCTTTTTATCCATCCCCCCCCTCCCTTTCCCTCCCTCCTTGCTTTTTTTCTTTCCTTCCTTCCTTTTTCTCTTTTCTTTTTCTTTCTTTCTTTCTTTCTTTCCTTCCTTCCTTATTTCTTTTCTTTCTTTCTTTTCTTCTTTCTTTCCCTCCCTCCCTCTCTCCTTCCTTCCTTTCTTCCTTCCCTAGCTCCCTCCCTCTTTCTTTCTCTTTCTTTCTTTTTCTCTCTCTCTCTCTCTCTCTTCCTCCACCTCTCTCTTTCTCTTTTAATGAGTCACAGAAAAAAAATCTTTTTAATCTTCTTTTTCCTTTTGTGCTGTGATTTTTAACACCCAATTCTAAGAAAGCTCTGTAATCTTTAGGAATTAGGGATACAGCTTCCAGTAAACTTTCTTTCATTTAGTTACAAATAATTCAATTATAAACCTCAAAGTTTCTGGTTTCTCCGTGTTAGACTCTACTACCTTTGCAGACCACTAAGCCTTTGTTTTAAAAGTCATTTTACAGCTATATCCCCTCTCCCAAAAATAAAATAAAAATTTATTTTTACAAGTCTAATAATAAGTGTTTGAATCAAATTCACTGACCTGCAAAGCAAACTAGAATAAGAACTGAATTTAAAATTCAGAGAAAAGAAGCAGTGGTGTATCAGAGAAAAGGATAGAGATACGTTAGAACAAAAGCAGACAGTTCTTGTCCTTATGGAGTTTACAGTCAAGAAGGAAAAGCACACGAAGTGAAGAACTGGAAAGACAAATGTGCTGGTACTGATGGGGGAGGCTGCACATAAATGGGGCAGGGAATGTCGGGGGAAAACTCTCTGACTTTTCCTCTTATGGTTGCGTAAACCTAAAACTTCTCTAAAGCATAAAATCAGCCAGGCATGGTGGCTAATGCCTATAATACCAGCACTTTGGGAGGCCAAGGCGGGCGGATCACTTGAGCCCAGGAGTTCAAGACCAGCCTAAGCAATATGGTGAAACCCTGTCTCTACAAAAAATACAAAAATTAGCCAGGTGTGGTGGCATGAGCCTGTAGCCCCAGTTACTTGGGAGTGTGAGGCAGGATGATCGCTTGAGAGGTGGAGGTGGAAGTTGCAATGAGCTATGATCAGACCACTGTACTCCAGCCTGGGGACAGAGCCAGACACTGTCTTAATAAAATAAAATAAAATAAATAAAAAGAATAAAATCTATTAAAATGAAAACAAACAAAAAATAGCAACAGCAAAAAAAAAAATGTAAAACTATAATCATGAAAGAAACATAGAGAGGAGCCAGAAAGGGGTGTATTTTGGTGACCTGACCTAATTTTTTCTGTGGAAGCTCGGATCTAAATGAAGAGTTAGTGTTGGCCAGGCAAATGGCTCAATGTTCTGGACACAGGCAAGGTCATGCCCAGAGCCCAGCGGTAGGAGAGGATGGGGCTTGGCACGTTGGAGGATGACCAGGGGGCCAGTCCGGTGGGATGTGGAGAGGGTGGAAGGGAGGCTGAGGGAGGTGGCACTAAATTGGGGCTAACAGCGATGGGCGATTATCAGAGATTTTTAAGAAGGTAAATGCTCTAATAACATTGACTTTTTTAAAACAGTTTGCCCCACTGTGTTTTATTTACAGAGGTATAATTTGCAGTGAAGTGCACAAATCAGTGAAATTTTACGTATGCAACCTTTATCACTCACCACCCAAACCAGAGTGGTGTCTTCCCAACACCCCAGGGCCTCTAGTCCTTTTCCAGCGTTGCCTGAAGACACAAACTACTGATGGCTGCATCCACATGACTGACTTCAAACACAGCACGCTGCAGGAGAAAAGCCGGATACGCGCGTGGAAAGTGGGTGGCTCCACCACCCTGCTGTTCAGGTTTTCTTTCTGAAAGTTCTTTTGGCTTTATTATGGAATAGAGGTTACAGAAAGGCAAAAGCTTTGGCCGTAGCGGGTGGGAAGATCTTCCTTACCCTGGAGGAGGAAGTAGGGTCTCCGTAATGTATGTGTGGTACTCAGGGCTCCCGGCAGCCCGAAGCCAGAGTGTGTCCTCACCCTGCCCCGGGTCAGCCCTGTGACCTGGAGGGAGCAACTGAAAAGCTCTGGGCCTCGGATTCCTCATCTGTGAAATGGGGATGCTAACAGTGCTACCTCCTCTGGTTGGTTTGTGGCAGAGGACACATGAGGCAACCTGTGTAAAATGCTTGGAGGGTGGCCAGTGTGGTTACCATGGAGATTGACTGGTACCGTCTTCCACATCCTGTGTTGACTAAGCGCGCACACCAGAATACAGTTCCAAACGATTATCAAACATGAATACAATTCAGAAAATAAACATGCAGCAAAACTTGCCATAAAGATTGCATGAAACTATCACTTTAAGAAAAATACATTAAAAATTACCTTAAATACCGAAAAGTACTTTTGTAAGTAAGGATCAGTCCAATAAATTTAACCTGTATTTGAATCAGTGTAAAACAACTTGGTTTATAATTTTGTCTTCATCGAGTGGGGGTG